>NC_000012.12:36797745-36966743 GCF_000001405.40 Homo sapiens | reverse complement strand
ATTCTGTCTAGTTTTTATACGAAGATGTTTCCTTTTCTACCTTTGGTCTCAATGCGATTGAAATCTCCACATGGAAACTCCACAAAAAGAGTGTTTCAAATCTGCTCTTTCTGAAGGAAGGTTCAACTCTGTGAGTTGAATACACACACCACAAATCCACCCGCCTCGGCCTCCCAAAGTGCTGGGATTACAGGTGTGAGCCACTGTGCCCGGCTCTGTGTAACATTATATGAGGAAATCCCGTTTCCAACGAAGGCCTCAAAGAGGTCCAAATATCCACTTGCAGACTTTACAAAGACAGTGTCTCCAAACTCCTCCATCAAAAGAAAGGTTATACTCTGTGAATTGAACGCACACATCACAAAGTAGTTTCTGAGAATGATTCTGTCTAGTTTTTATACGAAGATATTTCCTTTTCTACATTTGGCCTAAAAGCGCTTGAAATCTCCACCTGCAAATATCACAAAAAGAGGGTTTCACATCTGTTCTGTCTAAAGGACAGTTCACCTCTGTGAGTTGAGTAGAGGCAACACAAAGAACTTACTCAGTATTCTTCTTTCTAGCGTTACCTGAAGAAATCCCGTTTCCAACGAAGGCCTCAAAGAGGTCCAAATATCTGCTTGCAGACTTTACAGACAGAGTGTTTCCAAACTACTCTATGAAAAGAAAGCTTAAACTCCTTGAGTTGAACGCACACATCAAAAAATAGTTTCTGAGAATGATTCTGTCTTGTTTTTATACGAAGATCTTTCCGTTTGTATGATTGGCCTCAAAGCGATTGAAATCTCCAACTGGAAACTGCACAAATAGGGTGTTTCAAATCTGCTCTGTCTAAAGGAAGGTTCAACTCTTTGAGTTGAATACACACACCACAAATAAGTTACTGAGAATTCTTCTCTCGAACATTACATGAAGAAGTCCCGTTTCCAACGAAGGCCTCAAAGAGGTCCAAATATCCACTTGCCGACATGGCAAACACAGTGTTTGCAAACTGCTCCGTGAAAAGAAACGTTAAACTCTGTGAGATGAACACACACATCAAAAAGAAGTTTCTGTGAATGATTCTGTCTAGATTTTATAAGAAGATGTTTCCTTTTCTACCGTAGGCCTCAAAGCGCTTGAAATCTCCAGCTGCAAATTCCACAAAAAGGGTATTTAACATCTGCTCTTCTAAAGGAGATTTCAACTCTATGAGTTGAATTCACACAGCACTAAGAAGTTACTGAGACTTCTTCTGTCTAACATTATATGAAGAAATCCCGTTTCCAACGAAGGCCTCAAAGAGGTCCAAATATCCACTTGCAGACTTGTCAAACAGAGTGTTTCCAAACTGCACCATCAAAAGAAAGGTTAAACTCTGTGAGCTGAACACACACATCACAAAGTAGTTTCTGTGAATGATTCTGTCTAGTTTTTATACGAAGATGTTTCCTTTTCTACCTTTGGTCTCAAAGCGATTGAAATCTCCACATGGAAACTCCACAAAAGAGTGTTTCAAATCTGCTCTTTCTGAAGGAAGGTTCAACTCTGTGAGTTGAATACACACACCACAAATAAGTTACTGAGAATTCTTCTGTGTAGCATTATATGAAGAAATCCCGTTTCCAACGAAGGCCTCAAAGAGGTCCAAATATCCACTTGCCGACATGGCAAACACAGTGTTTGCAAACTGCTCCGTCAAAAGTAAGGTTAAACTTTGTGAGATGAACACACACATGAAAAAGAAGTTTCTGTGAATGATTCTGTCTAGATTTTATAAGAAGATGTTTCCTTTTCTACCGTAGGCCTCAAAGCGCTTGAAATCTCCAGCTGCAAATTCCACAAAAAGGGTGTTTAACATCTGCTCTTCTAAAGGAAAGTTCAACTCTATGAGTTGAATACACACAGCACAAAGAAGTTACTGAGACTTCTTCTGTCTAACATTATATGAAGAAATCCCGTTTCCAACGAAGGCCTCAAAGAGGTCCAAATATCTGCTTGCAGACTTTACAGACAGAGTGTTTCCAAACTGCTCCATCAAAAGAAAGGTTAAACTCCTTGAGTTGAACACACACATCACAAAGTAGTTTCTGTGAATGATTCTGTCTAGTTTTTATACGAAGATGTTTCCTTTTCTACCTTTGGTCTCAAAGCGATTGAAATCTCCACATGGAAACTCCACAAAAAGAGTGTTTCAAATCTGCTCTTTCTGAAGGAAGGTTCACCTCTGTGAGTTGAATAAACACACCACAAATAAGTTACTGAGAATTCTTCTGTGTAACATTATATGAGGAAATCCCGTTTCCAACGAAGGCCTCAAAGAGGTCCAAATATCCACTTGCAGACTTTACAAAGACAGTGTCTCCAAACTCCTCCATCAAAAGAAAGGTTATACTCTGTGAATTGAACGCACACATCACAAAGTAGTTTCTGAGAATGATTCTGTCTAGTTTTTATACGAAGATATTTCCTTTTCTACATTTGGCCTAAAAGCGCTTGAAATCTCCACCTGCAAATATCACAAAAAGAGGGTTTCACATCTGCTCTGTCTAAAGGACAGTTCACCTCTGTGAGTTGAATAGAGGCAACACAAAGAACTTACTCAGTATTCTTCTTTCTAGCGTTCTATGAAGAAATCCCGTTTCCAACGAAGGCCCCAAAGAGGTCCAAATATCTGCTTGCAGACTTTACAGACAGAGTGTTTCCGAACTACTCTATGAAAAGAAAGCTTAAACTCCTTGAGTTGAACGCACACATCACAAAGTAGTTTCTGAGAATGATTCTGTCTAGTTTTTATACGAAGATGTTTCCTTTTCTACATTTGGTCTCAAAGCGATTGAAATCTCCAACTGGAAACTGCACAAATAGGGTGTTTCAAATCTGCTCTGTCTAAAGGAAGGTTCAACTCTGTGAGTTGAATACACACACCACAAATAAGTTACTGAGAATTCTTCTTTCGAACACTACTTGAAGAAATCCCGTTTCCAACGAAGGCCTCAAAGAGGTCCAAATATCCACTTGCAGACATTACAAACAGAGTGTTTCCAAACTGCTCCATCAAAAGAAAGGTTATACTCTGTGAATTGAACGCACACATCACAAAGTAGTTTCTGAGAATGATTCTGTCTAGATTTTATAAGAAGATGTTTCCTTTTCTACCGTAGGCCTCAAAGCGCTTGAAATCTCCAGCTGCAAATTCCACAAAAAGGGTGTTTAACATCTGCTCTTCTAAAGGAAAGTTCAACTCTATGAGTTGAATACACACAGCACAAAGAAGTTACTGAGACTTCTCCTATCAAACATTATATGAAGAAATCCCGTTTCCAACGAAGGCCTCAAAGAGGTCCAAATATCTGCTTGCAGACTTTACAGACAGAGTGTTTCCAAACTGCTCCATCAAAAGAAAGGTTAACCTCCTTGAGTTGAACACACACATCACAAAGTAGTTTCTGTGAATGATTCTGTCTAGTTTTTATACGAAGATGTTTCCTTTTCTACCTTTGGTCTCAAAGCGATTGAAATCTCCACATGGAAACTCCACAAAAAGAGTGTTTCAAATCTGCTCTTTCTGAAGGAAGGTTCAACTCTGTGAGTTGAATACACACACCACAAATAAGTTACTGAGAATTCTTCTGTGTAACATTATATGAGGAAATCCCGTTTCCAACGAAGGCCTCAAAGAGGTCCAAATATCCACTTGCAGACTTTACAAAGACAGTGTCTCCAAACTCCTCCATCAAAAGAAAGGTTATACTCTGTGAATTGAACGCACACATCACAAAGTAGTTTCTGAGAATGATTCTGTCCAGTTTTTATACGAAGATATTTCCTTTACTACATTTGGCCTAAAAGCGCTTGAAATCTCCACTTGCAAATACCACAAAAAGAGGGTTTCACATCTGCTCTGTCTAAAGGACAGTTCACCTCTGTGAGTTGAATAGAGGCAACACAAAGAACTTACTCAGTATTCTTCTTTCTAGCGTTCTATGAAGAAATCCCGTTTCCAACGAAGGCCCCAAAGAGGTCCAAATATCTGCTTGCAGACTTTACAGACAGAGTGTTTCCAAACTACTCTATGAAAAGAAAGCTTAAACTCCTTGAGTTGAACGCACACATCACAAAGTAGTTTCTGAGAATGATTCTGTCTAGTTTTTATACGAAGATGTTTCCTTTTCTACATTTGGTCTCAAAGCGATTGAAATCTCCAACTGGAAACTGCAGAAATAGGGTGTTTCAAATCTGCTCTGTCTAAAGGAATGTTCAACTCTGTGAGTTGAATACACACACCACAAATAAGTTACTGAGAATTCTTCTGTCGAACATTACATGAAGAAATCCCGTTTCCAACGAAGGCCTCAAAGAGGTCCAAATATCCACTTGCAGACATTACAGAGTGTTTCCAAACTGCTCCATCAAAAGAAAGGTTAAACTCTGTGAGCTGAACACACACATCAAAAAGAAGTTTCTGTGAATGATTCTGTCTAGATTTTATAAGAAGATGTTTCCTTTTCTACCGTAGGCCTCAAAGCGCTTGAAATCTCCAGCTGCAAATTCCACAAAAAGGGTGTTTAACATCTGCTCTTCTAAAGGAAAGTTCAACTCTATGAGTTGAATACACACAGCACAAAGAAGTTACTGAGACTTCTCCTATCAAACATTATATGAAGAAATCCCGTTTCCAACGAAGGCCTCAAAGAGGTCCAAATATCTGCTTGCAGACTTTACAGACAGAGCGCTTCCAAACTGCTCCATCAAAAGAAAGGTTAAACTCCTTGAGTTGAACACACACATCACAAAGTAGTTTCTGTGAATGATTCTGTCTAGTTTTTATACGAAGATGTTTCCTTTTCTACCTTTGGTCTCAAAGCGATTGAAATCTCCACATGGAAACTCCACAAAAAGAGTGTTTCAAATCTGCTCTTTCTGAAGGAAGGTTCACCTCTGTGAGTTGAATAAACACACCACAAATAAGTTACTGAGAATTCTTCTGTGTAACATTATATGAGGAAATCCCGTTTCCAACGAAGGCCTCAAAGAGGTCCAAATATCCACTTGCAGACTTTACAAAGACAGTGTCTCCAAACTCCTCCATCAAAAGAAAGGTTATACTCTGTGAATTGAACGCACACATCACAAAGTAGTTTCTGAGAATGATTCTGTCTAGTTTTTATACGAAGATATTTCCTTTTCTACATTAGGCCTAAAAGCCCTTGAAATCTCCACCGGCAAGTATCACAAAAAGAGGGTTTCACATCTGCTCTGTCTAAAGGACAGTTCTCCTCTGTGAGTAGAATAGAGGCAACACAAAGAACTTAGTATTCTTCTTTCTAGCGTTCTATGAAGAAATCCCGTTTCCAACGAAGGCCTCAAAGAGGTCAAATATCTGCTTGCAGACTTTACAGACAGAGTGTTTCCAAACTACTCTATGAAAAGAAAGCTTAAACTCCTTGAGTTGAACGCACACATCACAAAGTAGTTTCTGAGAATGATTCTGTCTAGTTTTTATACGAAGATGTTTCCTTTTCTACATTTGGTCTCAAAGCGATTGAAATCTCCAACTGGAAACTGCACAAATAGGGTGTTTCAAATCTGCTCTGTCTAAAGGAAGGTTCAACTCTTTGAGTTGAATACACACACCACAAATAAGTTACTGAGAATTCTTCTGTCGAACATTACTTGAAGAAATCCCGTTTCCAACGAAGGCCTCAAAGAGGTCCAAATATCCACTTGCAGACATTACAAACAGAGTGTTTCCAAACTGCTCCATCAAAACAAAGGTTAAACTCTGTGAGCTGAACACACACATCAAAAAGAAGTTTCTGTGAATGATTCTGTCTAGATTTTATAAGAAGATGTTTCCTTTTCTACCGTAGGCCTCAAAGCGCTTGAAATCTCCAGCTGCAAATTCCACAAAAAGGGTGTTTAACATCTGCTCTTCTAAAGGAAAGTTCAACTCTATGAGTTGAATACACACAGCACAAAGAAGTTACTGAGACTTCTCCTATCAAACATTATATGAAGAAATCCCGTTTCCAACGAAGGCCTCAAAGAGGTCCAAATATCTGCTTGCAGACTTTACAGACAGAGTGTTTCCAAAGTGCTCCATCAAAAGAAAGGTTAAACTCCTTGAGTTGAACACACACATCACAAAGTAGTTTCTGTGAATGATTCTGTCTAGTTTTTATACGAAGATGTTTCCTTTTCTACCTTTGGTCTCAAAGCGATTGAAATCTCCACATGGAAACTCCACAAAAAGAGTGTTTCAAATCTGCTCTTTCTGAAGGAAGGTTCAACTCTGTGAGTTGAATACACACACCACAAATAAGTTACTGAGAATTCTTCTGTGTAACATTATATGAGGAAATCCCGTTTCCAACGAAGGCCTCAAAGAGGTCCAAATATCCACATGCAGACTTTACAAAGACAGTGTCTCCAAACTCCTCCATCAAAAGAAAGGTTATACTCTGTGAATTGAACGCACACATCACAAAGTAGTTTCTGAGAATGATTCTGTCTAGTTTTTATACGAAGATATTTCCTTTTCTACATTTGGCCTAAAAGCGCTTGAAATCTCCACCTGCAAATATCCCAAAAAGAGGGTTTCACATCTGCTCTGTCTAAAGGACAGTTCACCTCTGTGAGTTGAATAGAGGCAACACAAAGAACTTACTCAGTATTCTTCTTTCTAGCGTTCTATGAAGAAATCCCTTTTCCAACGAAGGCCTCAAAGAGGTCCAAATATCTGCTTGCAGACTTTACAGACAGAGTGTTTCCAAACTACTCTATGAAAAGAAAGCTTAAACTCCTTGAGTTGAATGCACACATCACAAAGTAGTTTCTGAGAATGATTCTGTCTAGTTTTTATACGAAGATGTTTCCTTTTCTACATTTGGTCTCAAAGCGATTGAAATCTCCAACTGGAAACTGCACAAATAGGGTGTTTCAAATCTGCTCTGTCTAAAGGAAGGTTCAACCCTGTGAGTTGAATACACACATCACAAATAAGTTACTGAGAATTCTTCTGTCGAACATTACATGAAGAAATCCCGTTTCCAACGAAGGCCTCAAAGAGGTCCAAATATCCACTTGCAGACATTACAGAGTGTTTCCAAACTGCTCCATCAAAAGAAAGGTTAAACTCTGTGAGCTGAACACACACATCAAAAAGAAGTTTCTGTGAATGTTTCTGTCTAGATTTTATAAGAAGATGTTTCCTTTTCTACCGTAGGCCTCAAAGCGCTTGAAATCTCCAGCTGCAAATTCCACAAAAAGGGTGTTTAACATCTGCTCTTCTAAAGGAAAGTTCAACTCTATGAGTTGAATACACACAGCACAAAGAAGTTACTGGAGACTTCTCCTATCAAACACTATATGAAGAAATCCCGTTTCCAACGAAGGCCTCAAAGAGGTCCAAATATCCACTTGCAGACGTGACAAACAGAGTGTTTCCAAACTGCTCCATCCAAAGAAAGGTTAAACTCTGTGAGTTGAACACACACATCACAAAGTAGTTTCTGTGAGTGATTCTGTCTAGTTTTTATACGAAGATGTTTCCTTTTCTACCTTTGGTCTCAAAGTGATTGAAATCTCCACATGGAAACTCCACAAAAAGAGTGTTTCAAATCTGCTCTTTCTGAAGGAAGGTTCAACTCTGTGAGTTGAATACACACACGACAAATAAGTTACTGAGAATTCTTCTGTGTAACATTATATGAGGAAATCCCGTTTCCAACGAAGGCCTCAAAGAGGTCCAAATATCCAGTTGCAGACTTTACAAAGACAGTGTCTCCAAACTCCTCCATCAAAAGAATGGTTATACTCTGTGAATTGAACGCACACATCACAAAGTAGTTTCTGAGAATGATTCTGTCTAGTTTTTATACGAAGATATTTCCTTTTCTACATTTGGCCTAAAAGCGCTTGAAATCTCCACCTGCAAATATCACAAAAAGAGGGTTTCACATCTGCTCTGTCTAAAGGACAGTTCACCTCTGTGAGTTGAATAGAGGCAACACAAAGAACTTACTCAGTATTCTTCTTTCTAGCGTTCTATGAAGAAATCCCGTTTCCAACGAAGGCCTCAAAGAGGTCCAAATATCTGCTTGCAGACTTTACAGACAGAGTGTTTCCAAACTACTCTATGAAAAGAAAGCTTAAACTCCTTGAGTTGAACGCACACATCACAAAGTAGTTTCTGAGAATGATTCTGTCTAGTTTTTATACGAAGATGTTTCCTTTTCTACATTTGGTCTCAAAGGGATTGAAATCTCCAACTGGAAACTGCACAAATAGGGTGTTTCAAATCTGCTCTGTCTAAAGGATGGTTCAACTCTGTGAGTTGAATACACACACCACAAATAAGTTACTGAGAATTCTTCTGTCGAACATTACAGGAAGAAATCCCGTTTCCAGCGAAGGCCTCAAAGAGGTCCAAATATCCACTTGCAGACATTACAAACAGAGTGTTTCCAAACTGCTCCATCAAAAGAAAGGTTAAACTCTGTGAGCTGAACACACACATCAAAAAGAAGTTTCTGTGAATGATTCTGTCTAGATTTTATAAGAAGATGTTTCCTTTTCTACCGTAGGCCTCAAAGCGCTTGAAATCTCCAGCTGCAAATTCCACAAAAAGGGTGTTTAACATCTGCTCTTCTAAAGGAAAGTTCAACTCTATGAGTTGAATACACACAGCACAAAGAAGTTACTGAGACTTCTCCTATCAAACATTATATGAAGAAATCCCGTTTCCAACGAAGGCCTCAAAGAGGTCCAAATATCTGCTTGCAGACTTTACAGACAGAGTGTTTCCAAACTGCTCCATCAAAAGAAAGGTTAAACTCCTTGAGTTGAACACACACATCACAAAGTAGTTTCTGTGAATGATTCTGTCTAGTTTTTATACGAAGATGTTTCCTTTTCTACCTTTGGTCTCAAAGCGATTGAAATCTCCACATGGAAACTCCACAAAAAGAGTGTTTCAAATCTGCTCTTTCTGAAGGAAGGTTCAACTCTGTGAGTTGAATACACACACCACAAATAAGTTACTGAGAATTCTTCTGGGTAACATTATATGAGGAAATCCCGTTTCCAACGAAGGCCTCAAAGAGGTCCAAATATCCACTTGCAGACTTTACAAAGACAGTGTCTCCAAACTCCTCCATCAAAAGAAAGGTTATACTCTGTGAATTGAACGCACACATCACAAAGTAGTTTCTGAGAATGATTCTGTCTAGTTTTTATACGAAGATATTTCCTTTTCTACATTTGGCCTAAAAGCGCTTGAAATCTCCACCTGCAAATATCACAAAAAGAGGGTTTCACATCTGCTCTGTCTAAAGGACAGTTCACCTCTGTGAGTTGAATAGAGGCAACACAAAGAACTTACTCAGTATTCTTCTTTCTAGCGTTCTATGAAGAAATCCCGTTTCCAACGAAGGCCCCAAAGAGGTCCAAATATCTGCTTGCAGACTTTACAGACAGAGTGTTTCCAAACTACTCTATGAAAAGAAAGCTTAAACTCCTTGAGTTGAACGCACACATCACAAAGTAGTTTCTGAGAATGATTCTGTCTAGTTTTTATACGAAGATGTTTCCTTTTCTACATTTGGTCTCAAAGCGATTGAAATCTCCAACTGGAAACTGCACAAATAGGGTGTTTCAAATCTGCTCTGTCTAAAGGAATGTTCAACTCTGTGAGTTGAATACACACACCACAAATAAGTTACTGAGAATTCTTCTGTCGAACATTACATGAAGAAATCCCGTTTCCAACGAAGGCCTCAAAGAGGTCCAAATATCCAGTTGCTGACAATGCAAACACATTTTTTCCAAACTGCTCCGTCAAAAGAAAGGTTAAACTCTGTGAGATGAACACACACATCAAAAAGAAGTTTCTGTGAATGATTCTGTCTAGATTTTATAAGAAGATGTTTCCTTTTCTACTGTAGGCCTCAAAGCGCTTGAAATCTCCAGCTGCAAATTCCACAAAAAGGGTGTTTAACATCTGGTCTTCTAAAGGAAAGTTCAACTCTATGAGTTGAATACACACAGCACAAAGAAGTTACTGAGATTTCTCCTATCAAACATTATATGAAGAAATCCCGTTTCCAACGAAGGCCTCAAAGAGGTCCAAATATCTGCTTGCAGACTTTACAGACAGAGTGTTTCCAAACTGCTCCGTCAAAAGAAAGGTTAAACTCCTTGAGTTGAACACACACATCACAAAGTAGTTTCTGTGAATGATTCTGTCTAGTTTTTATACGAAGATGTTTCCTTTTCTACCTTTGTTCTCAAAGCGATTGAAATCTCCACATGGAAACTCCACCAAAAGAGTGTTTCAAATCTGCTCTCTCTGAAGGAAGGTTCAACTCTGTGAGTTGAATACACACACCACAAATAAGTTACTGAGAATTCTTCTGGGTAACATTATATGAGGAAATCCCGTTTCCAACGAAGGCCTCAAAGAGGTCCAAATATCCACTTGCAGACTTTACAAAGACAGTGTCTCCAAACTCCTCCATCAAAAGAAAGGTTATACTCTGTGAATTGAACGCACACATCACAAAGTAGTTTCTGAGAATGATTCTGTCTAGTTTTTATACGAAGATATTTCCTTTTCTACATTTGGCCTAAAAGCGCTTGAAATCTCCACCTGCAAATATCACAAAAAGAGGGTTTCACATCTGCTCTATCTAAAGGACAGTTCACCTCTGTGAGTTGAATAGAGGCAACACAAAGAACTTACTCAGTATTCTTCTTTCTAGCGTTCTATGAAGAAATCCCGTTTCCAACGAAGGCCTCAAAGAGGTCCAAATATCTGCTTGCAGACTTTACAGACAGAGTGTTTCCAAACTACTCTATGAAAAGAAAGCTTAAACTCCTTGAGTTGAACGCACACATCACAAAGTAGTTTCTGAGAATGATTCTGTCTTGTTTTTATACAAAGTTATTTCCGTTTCTATGATTGGCCTCAAAGCGATTGAAATCTCCAACTGGAAACTGCACAAATAGGGTGTTTCAAATCTGCTCTGTCTAAAGGAAGGTTCAACTCTGTGAGTTGAATACACACACCACAAATAAGTTACTGAGAATTCTTCTGTCGAACATTACAGGAAGAAATCCCGTTTCCAACGAAGGCCTCAAAGAGGTCCAAATATCCACTTGCAGACATTACAAACAGTGTGTTTCCCAACTGCTCCATCAAAAGAAAGGTTAAACTCTGTGAGCTGAACACACACATCAAAAAGAAGTTTCTGTGAATGATTCTGTCTAGATTTTATAAGAAGATGTTTCCTTTTCTACCGTAGGCCTCAAGGCGCTTGAAATCTCCAGCTGCAAATTCCACAAAAAGGGTGTTTAACATCTACTCTTCTAAAGGAAAGTTCAACTCTATGAGTTGAATACACACAGCACAAAGAAGTTACTGAGACTTCTCCTATCAAACATTATATGAAGAAATCCCGTTTCCAACGAAGGCCTCAAAGAGGTCCAAATATCTGCTTGCAGACTTTACAGACAGAGTTTTTCCAAACTGCTCCATCAAAAGAAAGGTTAAACTCCTTGAGTTGAACACACACATCACAAAGTAGTTTCTGTGAATGATTCTGTCTAGTTGTTATACGAAGATGTTTCCTTTTCTACCTTTGGTCTCAAAGCGATTGAAATCTCCACATGGAAACTCCACAAAAAGAGTGTTTCAAATCTGCTCTTTCTGAAGGAAGGTTCATCTCTGTGAGTTGAATACACACACCACAAATAAGTTAGTGAGAATTCTTCTGGGTAACATTATATGAGGAAATCCCGTTTCCAACGAAGGCCTCAAAGAGGTCCAAATATCCACTTGCAGACTTTACAAAGACAGTGTCTCCAAACTCCTCCATCAAAAGAAAGGTTATACTCTGTGAATTGAACGCACACATCACAAAGTAGTTTCTGAGAATGATTCTGTCTAGTTTTTATACGAAGATATTTCCTTTTCTACATTTGGCCTAAAAGCGCTTGAAATCTCCACCTGCAAATATCACAAAAAGAGGGTTTCACATCTGCTCTGTCTAAAGGACAGTTCAACTCTGTGAGTTGAATAGAGGCAACACAAAGAACTTACTCAGTATTCTTCTTTCTAGCGTTCTATGAAGAAATCCCGTTTCCAACGAAGGCCCCAAAGAGGTCCAAATATCTGCTTGCAGACTTTACAGACAGAGTGTTTCCAAACTACTCTATGAAAAGAAAGCTTAAACTCCTTGAGTTGAACGCACACATCACAAAGTAGTTTCTGAGAATGATTCTGTCTTGTATTTATACGAAGATATTTCCGTTTCTACGATTGGCCTCAAAGCGATTGAAATCTCCAACTGGAAACTGCCAAATAGGGTGTTTCAAATCTGCTCTGTCTAAAGGAAGGTTCAACTCTGTGAGTTGAATACACACACCACAAATAAGTTACTGAGAATTCTTCTCTCGAACATTACATGAAGAAATCCCGTTTCCAAAGAAGGCCTGAAAGAGGTCCAAATATCCAGTTGCCGACAATGCAAACACAGTGTTTGCAAACTGCTCCGTCAAAAGAAAGGTTAAACTCTCTGAGATGAACACACACATCAGAAAGAAGTTTCTGTGAATGATTCTGTCTAGATTTTATAAGAAGATGTTTCCTTTTCTACCGTAGGCCTCAAAGCGCTTGAAATCTCCAGCTGCAAATTCCACAAAAAGGGTGTTTAACATCTGCTCTTCTAAAGGAAAGTTCAACTCTATGAGTTGAATACACACAGCACAAAGAAGTTACTGAGACTTCTCCTATCAAACATTATATGAAGAAATCCCGTTTCCAACGAAGGCCTCAAAGAGGTCCAAATATCTGCTTGCAGACTTTACAGACAGAGTGTTTCCAAACTGCTCCATCAAAAGAAAGGTTAAACTCCTTGAGTTGAACACACACATCACAAAGTAGTTTCTGTGAATGATTCTGTCTAGTTTTTATACGAAGATGTTTCCTTTTCTACCTTTGGTCTCAATGCGATTGAAATCTCCACATGGAAACTCCACAAAAAGAGTGTTTCAAATCTGCTCTTTCTGAAGGAAGGTTCAACTCTGTGAGTTGAATACACACACCACAAATAAGTTACTGAGAATTCTTCTGTGTAATATTATATGAGGAAATCCCGTTTCCAACGAAGGCCTCAAAGAGGTCCAAATATCCACTTGCAGACTTTACAAAGACAGTGTCTCCAAACTCCTCCATCAAAAGAAAGGTTATACTCTGTGAATTGAACACACACATCACAAAGTAGTTTCTGAGAATGATTTCTGTCTAGTTTTTATACGAAGATATTTCCTTTTCTACATTTGGCCTAAAAGCGCTTGAAATCTCCACCTGCAAATATCACAAAAAGAGGGTTTCCCATCTGCTCTGTCTAAAGGACAGTTCACCTCTGTGGGTTGAATAGAGGCAACACAAAGAAGTTACTGAGTATTATTCTTTCTAGCGTTCTATGAAGAAATCCCGTTTCCAACGAAGGCCTCAAAGAGGTCAAATATCTGCTTGCAGACTTTACAGACAGAGTGTTTCCAAACTACTCTATGAAAAGAAAGCTTAAACTCCTTGAGTTGAACGCACACATCACAAAGTAGTTTCTGAGAATGATTCTGTCTAGTTTTTATACGAAGATGTTTCCCTTTCTACATTTGGTCTCAAAGCGATTGAAATCTCCAACTGGAAACTGCACAAATAGGGTGTTTCAAATCTGCTCTGTCTAAAGGAAGGTTCAACTCTGTGAGTTGAATACACACACCACAAATAAGTTACTGAGAATTCTCCTATCAAACATTATATGAAGAAATCCCGTTTCCAACGAAGGCCTCAAAGAGGTCCAAATATCCACTTGCAGACATTACAAACAGAGTGTTTCCAAACTGCTCCATCAAAAGAAAGGTTAAACTCTGTGAGCTGAACACACACATCAAAAAGAAGTTTCTGTGAATGATTCTGTCTAGATTTTGTAAGAAGATGTTTCCTTTTCTACCGTAGGCCTCAAAGCGCTTGAAATCTCCACCTGCAAATTCCACAAAAAGGGTGTTTTACATCTGCTCTTCTAAAGGAAAGTTCAACTCTATGCGTTGAATACACACAGGACAAAGAAGTTACTGAGACTTCTCCTATCAAACATTAGATGAAGAAATCCCGTTTCCAACGAAGGCCTCAAAGAGGTACAAATATCTGCTTGCAGACTTTACAGACAGAGTTTTTCCAAACTGCTCCATCAAAAGAAAGGTTAAACTCCTTGAGTTGAACACACACATCACAAAGTAGTTTCTGTGAATGATTCTGTCTAGTTTTTATACGAAGATGTTTCCTTTTCTACCTTTGGTCTCAAAGCGATTGAAATCTCCACATGGAAACTCCACAAAAAGAGTGTTTCAAATCTGCTCTTTCTGAAGGAAGGTTCAACTCTTGTGAGTTGAATACACACACCACAAATAAGTTACTGAGAATTCTTCTGTGTAACATTATATGAGGAAATCCCGTTTCCAACGAAGGCCTCAAAGAGGTCCAAATATCCACTTGCAGACTTTACAAAGACAGTGTCTCCAAACTCCTCCATCAAAAGAAAGGTTATACTCTGTGAATTGAACGCACACATCACAAAGTAGTTTCTGAGAATGATTCTGTCTAGTTTTTATACGAAGATATTTCCTTTTCTACATTTGGCCTAAAAGCGCTTGAAATCTCCACCTGCAAATATCACAAAAAGGTTGTTTCACATCTGCTCTGTCTAAAGGACAGTTCACCTCTGTGAGTTGAATAGAGGCAACACAAAGAACTTCCTCAGTATTCTTCTTTCTAGCGTTGTATGAAGAAATCCCGTTTCCAACGAAGGCCTCAAAGAGGTCCAAATATCTGCTTGCAGACTTTACAGACAGAGTGTTTCCAAGCTACTCTATGAAAAGAAAGCTTAAACTCCGTGAGTTGAACGCACACATCACAAAGTAGTTTCTGAGAATGATTTCTGTCTAGTTTTTATACGAAGATGTTTCCTTTTCTACATTTGGTCTCAAAGCGATTGAAATCTCCAACTGGAAACTGCACAAATAGGGTGTTTCAAATCTGCTCTGTCTAAAGGAAGGTTCAACTCTGTGAGTTGAATACACACACCACAAATAAGTTACTGAGAATTCTTCTGTCGAACATTACTTGAAGAAATACCGTTTCCAAAGAAGGCCTCAAAGAGGTCCAAATATCCACTTGCAGACATTACAAACCGAGTGTTTCCAAACTGCTCCATCAACAGAAAGGTTAAACTCTGTGAGCTGAACACACACATCAAAAAGAAGTTTCTGTGAATGATTCTGTCTAGATTTTATAAAAAGATGTTTCCTTTTCTACCGTAGGCCACAAAGCGCTTGAAATCTCCAGCTGCAAATTCCACAAAAAGGGTGTTTAACATCTGCTCTTCTAAAGGAAAGTTCAACTCTATGCGTTGAATACACACAGCACAAAGAAGTTACTGAGACTTCTCCTATCAAACATTATATGAAGAAATCCCGTTTCCAACGAAGGCCTCAAAGAGGTCCAAATATCTGCTTGCAGACTTTACAGACAGAGTGTTTCCAAACTGCTCCATCAAAAGAAAGGTTAAACTCCTTGAGTTGAACACACACATCACAAAGTAGTTTCTGTGAATGATTCTGTCTAGTTTTTATACGAAGATGTTTCCTTTTCTACCTTTGGTCTCAAAGCGATTGAAATCTCCACATGGAAACTCCACAAAAAGAGTGTTTCAAATCTGCTCTTTCTGAAGGAAGGTTCAACTCTGTGAGTTGAATACACACACCACAAATAAGTTACTGATAATTCTTCTGTGTAACATTATATGAGGAAATCCCGTTTCCAACGATGGCCTCAAAGAGGTCCAAATATCCACTTGCAGACTTTACAAAGACAGTGTCTCCAAACTCCTCCATCAAAAGAAAGGTTATACTCTGTGAATTGAACGCACACATCACAAAGTAGTTTCTGAGAATGATTCTGTCTAGTTTTTATACGAAGATATTTCCTTTTCTACATTTGGCCTAAAAGCGCTTGAAATCTCCACGTGCAAATATCACAAAAAGAGGGTTTCACATCTGCTCTGTCTAAAGGACAGTTCACCTCTGTGAGTTGAATAGAGGCAACACAAAGAACTTACTCAGTATTCTTCTTTCTAGCGTTCTATGAAGAAATCCCGTTTCCAACGAAGGCCCCAAAGAGGTCCAAATATCTGCTTGCAGACTTTACAGACAGAGTGTTTCCAAACTACTCTATGAAAAGAAAGCTTAAACTCCTTGAGTTGAACGCACACATCACAAAGTAGTTTCTGAGAATGATTCTGTCTAGTTTTTATACGAAGATGTTTCCTTTTCTACATTTGGTCTCAAAGCGATTGAAATCTCCAACTGGAAACTGCACAAATAGGCTGTTTCAAATCTGCTCTGTCTAAAGGAAGGTTCAACTCTGTGAGTTGAATACACACACCACAAATAAGTTACTGAGAATTCTTCTGTCGAACATTACTTGAAGAAATCCCGTTTCCAACGAAGGCCTCAAAGAGGTCCAAATATCCACTTGCAGACGTTACAAACAGAGTGTTTCCAAACTGCTCCATCAAAAGAAAGGTTAAACTCTGTGAGCTGAACACACACATCAAAAAGAAGTTTCTGTGAATGATTCTGTCTAGATTTTATAAGAAGATGTTTCCTTTTCTACCGTAGGCCTCAAAGCGCTTGAAATCTCCAGCTGCAAATTCCACAAAAAGGGTGTTTAACATCTGCTCTTCTAAAGGAAAGTTCAACTCTATGAGTTGAATACACACAGCACAAAGAAGTTACTGAGACTTCTCCTATCAAACATTATATGAAGAAATCCCGTTTCCAACGAAGGCCTCAAAGAGGTCCAAATATCCACTTGCAGACATTACAAACAGAGTGTTTCCAAACTGCTCCATCAAAAGAAAGGTTAAACTCTGTGAGCTGAACACACACATCGAAAAGAAGTTTCTGTGAATGATTCTGTCTAGATTTTATAAGAAGATGTTTCCTTTTCTACCGTACGCCTCAAAGCGCTTGAAATCTCCAGCTGCAAATTCCACAAAAAGGGTGTTTAACATCTGCTCTTCTAAAGGAAAGTTCAACTCTATGAGTTGAATACACACAGCACAAAGAAGTTACTGAGACTTCTTCTTTCTAGCATTCTATGAAGAAATCCCGTTTCCAACGAAGGCCCCAAAGAGGTCCAAATATCTGCTTGCAGACTTTACAGACAGAGTTTTTCCAAACTGCTCCATCAAAAGAAAGGTTAAACTCCTTGAGTTGAACACACACATCACAAAGTAGTTTCTGTGAATGATTCTGTCTAGTTTTTATACGAAGATGTTTCCTTTTCTACCTTTGGTCTCAAAGCGATTGAAATCTCCACATGGAAACTCCACAAAAAGAGTGTTTCAAATCTGCTCTTTCTGAAGGAAGGTTCAACTCTGTGAGTTGAATACACACACCACAAATAAGTTACTGAGAATTCTTCTGTGTAACATTATATGAGGAAATCCCGTTTCCAACGAAGGCCACAAAGAGGTCCAAATATCCACTTGCAGACTTTACAAAGACAGTGTCTCCAAACTCCTCCATCAAAAGAAAGGTTATACTCTGTGAATTGAACGCACACATCACAAAGTAGTTTCTGAGAATGATTCTGTCTAGTTTTTATACGAAGATATTTCCTTTTCTACATTTGGCCTCAAAGCGCTTGAAATCTCCACCTGCAAATATCACAAAAAGAGGGTTTCACATCTGCTCTGTCTAAAGGACAGTTCACCTCTGTGAGTTGAATAGAGGCAACACAAAGAACTTACTCAGTATTCTTCTTTCTAGCGTTCTATGAAGAAATCCCGTTTCCAACGAAGGCCCCAAAGAGGTCCAAATATCTGCTTGCAGACTTTACAGACAGAGTGTTTCCAAACTACTCTATGAAAAGAAAGCTTAAACTCCTTGAGTTGAACGCACACATCACAAAGTAGTTTCTGAGAATGATTCTGTCTAGTTTTTATACGAAGATGTTTCCTTTTCTACATTTGGTCTCAAAGCGATTGAAATCTCCAACTGGGAACTGCACAAATAGGGTGTTTCAAATCTGCTCTGTCTAAAGGAAGGTTCAACTCTGTGAGTTGAATACACACACCACAAATAAGTTACTGAGAATTCTTCTGTCGAACATTACATGAAGAAATCCGGTTTCCAACGAAGGCCTCAAAGAGGTCCAAATAACCACTTGCAGACGTGACAAACAGAGTGTTTACAAACTGCTCCATCCAAAGAAAGGTTAAACTCTGTGAGTTGAACACACACATCACAAAGTAGTTTCTGTGAATGATTCTGTCTAGTTTTTATACGAAGATGTTTCGTTTTCTACCTTTGGTCTCAAAGCCATTGAAATCTCCACATGGAAACTCCACAAAAAGAGTGTTTCAAATCTGCTCTTTCTGAAGGAAGGTTCAACTCTGTGAGTCGAATACACGCACCACAAATAAGTTACTGAGAATTCTTCTGTCGACCATTACATGAAGAAATCCCGTTTCCAACGAAGACCTCAAAGAGGTCCAAATATCCCCTTGCAGACATTACAAACAGAGTGTTTCCAAACTGCTCCATCAAAAGAAAGGTCAAACTCTGTGAGCTGAACACACACATCAAAAAGAAGTTTCTGTGAATGATTCTGTCTAGATTTTATAAGAAGATGTTTCCTTTTCTACCGTAGGCCTCAAAGCGCTTGAAATCTCCAGCTGCGAATTCCACAAAAAGGGTGTTTAACATCTGCTCTTCTAAAGGAAAGTTCAACTCTATGAGTTGAATACACACAGCACAAAGAAGTTACTGAGACTTCTCCTATCAAACATTATATGAAGAAATCCCGTTTCCAACGAAGGCCTCAAAGAGGTCCAAATATCTGCTTGCAGACTTTACAGACAGAGTGTTTCCAAACTGCTCCATCAAAAGAAAGGTTAAACTCCTTGAGTTGAACACACACATCACAAAGTAGTTTCTGTGAATGATTCTGTCTAGTTGTTATACGAAGATGTTTCCTTTTCTACCTTTGGTCTCAAAGCGATTGAAATCTCCACATGGAAACTCCACAAAAAGAGTGTTTCAAATCTGCTCTTTCTGAAGGAAGGTTCATCTCTGTGAGTTGAATACACACACCACAAATAAGTTACTGAGAATTCTTCTGTGTAACATTATATGAGGAAATCCCGTTTCCAACGAAGGCCTCAAAGAGGTCCAAATATCCACTTGCAGACTTTACAAAGACAGTGTCTCCAAACTCCTCCATCAAAAGAAAGGTTATACTCTGTGAATTGAACGCACACATCACAAAGTAGTTTCTGAGAATGATTCTGTCTAGTTTTTATACGAAGATATTTCCTTTTCTACATTTGGCCTAAAAGCGCTTGAAATCTCCACCTGCAAATATTACAAAAAGAGGGTTTCACATCTGCTCTGTCTAAAGGACAGTTCACCTCTGTGAGTTGAATAGAGGCAACACAAAGAACTTACCCAGTATTCTTCTTTCTAGCGTTCTATGAAGAAATCCCATTTCCAACGAAGGCCCCAAAGAGGTCCAAATATCTGCTTGCAGACTTTACAGACAGAGTGTTTCCAAACTACTCTATGAAAAGAAAGCTTAAACTCCTTGAGTTGAACGCACACATCACAAAGTAGTTTCGGAGAATGATTCTGTCTAGTTTTTATACGAAGATGTTTCCTTTTCTACATTTGGTCTCAAAGCGATTGAAATCTCCAACTGGAAACTGCACAAATAGGGTGTTTCAAATCTGCTCTGTCTAAAGGAAGGTTCAACTCTGTGAGTTGAATACACACACCACAAATAAGTTACTGAGAATTCTTCTGTCGAACATTACATGAAGAAATCCCGTTTCCAACGAAGGCCTCAAAGACGTCCAAATATCCGCTTGCAGACATTACAAACAGAGTGTTTCCAAACTGCTCCATCAAAAGAAAGGTTAAACTCTGTGAGCTGAACACACACATCAAAAAGAAGTTTCTGTGAATGATTCTGTCTAGATTTTATAAGAAGATGTTTCCTTTTCTACCGTAGGCCTCAAAGCGCTTGAAATCTCCAGCTGCAAATTCCACAAAAAGGGTGTTTAACATCTGCTCTTCTAAAGGAAAGTTCAACTCTATGAGTTGAATACACACAGCACAAAGAAGTTACTGAGACTTCTCCTATCAAACATTATATGAAGAAATCCCGTTTCCAACGAAGGCCTCAAAGAGGTCCAAATATCTGCTTGCAGACTTTACAGACAGAGTGTTTCCAAACTGCTCCATCAAAAGAAAGGTTAAACTCCTTGAGTTGAACACACACATCACAAAGTAGTTTCTGTGAATGATTCTGTCTAGTTTTTATACGAAGATGTTTCCTTTTCTACCTCTGGTCTCAAAGCGATTGAAATCTCCACGTGGAAACTCCACAAAAAGAGTGTTTCAAATCTGCTCTTTCTGAAGGAAGGTTCAACTCTGTGAGTTGAATACACACACCACAAATAAGTTACTGAGAATTCTTCTGTGTAACATTATATGAGGAAATCCCGTTTCCAACGAAGGCCTCAAAGAGGTCCAAATATCCACTTGCAGACTTTACAAAGACAGTGTCTCCAAACTCCTCCATCAAAAGAAAGGTTATACTCTGTGAATTGAACGCACACATCACAAAGTAGTTTCTGAGAATGATTCTGTCTAGTTTTTATACGAAGATATTTCCTTTTCTACATTTGGCCTAAAAGCGCTTGAAATCTCCACCTGCAAATATCACAAAAAGAGGGTTTCACATCTGCTCTGTCTAAAGGACAGTTCACCTCTGTGAGTTGAATAGAGGCAACACAAAGAACTTACTCAGTATTCTTCTTTCTAGCATTATATGAAGAAATCCCGTTTCCAACGAAGGCCTCAAAGAGGTCCAAATATCTCCTTGCAGACTTTACAGACAGAGTGTTTCCAAACTACTCTATGAAAAGAAAGCTTAAACTCCTTGAGTTGAACGCACACATCACAAAGTAGTTTCTGAGAATGATTCTGTCTTGTTTTTATACAAAGTTATTTCTGTTTCTATGATTGGCCTCAAAGCGATTGAAATCTCCAACTGGAAACTGCACAAATAGGGTGTTTCAAATCTGCTCTGTCTAAAGGAAGGTTCAACTCTGTGAGTTGAATACACACACCACAAATAAGTTACTGAGAATTCTTCTGTCGAACATTACTTGAAGAAATCCCGTTTCCAATGAAGGCCTCAAAGAGGTCCAAATATCCACTTGCAGACATTACAAACAGAGTGTTTCCAAACTGCTCCATCAAAAGAAAGGTTAAACTCTGTGAGCTGAACACACACATCAAAAAGAAGTTTCTGTGAATGATTCTGTCTAGATTTTATAAGAAGATGTTTCCTTTTCTACCGTAGGCCTCAAAGCGCTTGAAATCTCCAGCTGCAAATTCCACAAAAAGGGTGTTTAACATCTGCTCTTCTAAAGGAAAGTTCAACTCTATGAGTTGAATACACACAGCACAAAGAAGTTACTGAGACTTCTCCTATCAAACATTATATGAAGAAATCCCGTTTCCAACGAAGGCCTCAAAGAGGTCCAAATATCTGCTTGCAGACTTTACAGACAGAGTTTTTCCAAACTGCTCCATCAAAAGAAAGGTTAAACTCCTTGAGTTGAACACACACATCACAAAGTAGTTTCTGTGAATGATTCTGTCTAGTTTTTATACGAAGATGTTTCCTTTTCTACCTTTGGTCACAAAGCGATTGAAATCTCCACATGGAAACTCCACAAAAAGAGTGTTTCAAATCTGCTCTTTCTGAAGGAAGGTTCAACTCTGTGAGTTGAATACACACACCACAAATAAGTTACTGAGAATTCTTCTGTGTAACATTATATGAGGAAATCCCGTTTCCAACGAAGGCCTCAAAGAGGTCCAAATATCCACTTGCAGACTTTACAAAGACAGTGTCTCCAAACTCCTCCATCAAAAGAAAGGTTATACTCTGTGAATTGAACGCACACATCACAAAGTAGTTTCTGAGAATGATTCTGTCTAGTTTTTATACGAAGATATTTCCTTTTCTACATTTGGCCTGAAAACGCTTGAAATCTCCACCTGCAAATATAACAAAAAGAGGGTTTCACATCTGCTCTGTCTAAAGGACAGTTCACCTCTGTGAGTTGAATAGAGGCAACACAAAGAACTTACTCAGTATTCTTCTTTCTAGCGTTGTATGAAGAAATCCCGTTTCCAACGAAGGCCCCAAAGAGGTCCAAATATCTGCTTGTAGACTTTACAGACAGAGTGTTTCCAAACTACTCTATGAAAAGCTAAGCTTAAACTCCTTGAGTTGAACGCACACATCACAAAGTAGTTTCTGAGAATGATTCTGTCTAGTTTTTATACGAAGATGTTTCCTTTTCTACATTTGGTCTCAAAGCGATTGAAATCTCCAACTGGAAACTGCACAAATAGGGTGTTTCAAATCTGCTCTGTCTAAAGGAAGGTTCAACTCTGTGAGTTGAATACACACACCACAAATAAGTTACTGAGAATTCTTCTGTCGACCATTACTTGATGAAATCCCGTTTCCAACGAAGGCCTCAAAGAGGTCCAAATATCCACTTGCAGACATTACAAACAGAGTGTTTCCAAACTGCTCCATCAAAAGAAAGGTTAAACTCTGTGAGCTGAACACACACATCGAAAAGAAGTTTCTGTGAATGATTCTGTCTAGATTTTATAAGAAGATGTTTCCTTTTCTACCGTAGGCCTCAAAGCGCTTGAAATCTCCAGCTGCAAATTCCACAAAAAGGGTGTTTAACATCTGCTCTTCTAAAGGAAAGTTCAACTCTATGAGTTGAATACACACAGCACAAAGAAGTTACTGAGACTTCTCCTATCAAACATTATATGAAGAAATCCCGTTTCCAACGAAGGCCTCAAAGAGGTCCAAATATCTGCTTGCAGACTTTACAGACAGAGTTTTTCCAAACTGCTCCATCAAAAGAAAGGTTAAACTCCTTGAGTTGAACACACACATCACAAAGTAGTTTCTGTGAATGATTCTGTCTAGTTTTTATACGAAGATGTTTCCTTTTCTACCTTTGGTCTCAAAGCGATTGAAATCTCCACATGGAAACTCCACAAAAAGAGTGTTTCAAATCTGCTCTTTCTGAAGGAAGGTTCAACTCTGTGAGTTGAATACACACACCACAAATAAGTTACTGATAATTCTTCTGTGTAACATTATATGAGGAAATCCCGTTTCCAACGAAGGCCTGAAAGAGGTCCAAATATCCACTTGCAGACTTTACAAAGAGAGTGTCTCCAAACTGCTCCATCAAAAGAAAGGTTATACTCTGTGAATTGAACGCACACATCACAAAGTAGTTTCTGAGAATGATTCTGTCTAGTTTTTATACGAAGATATTTCCTTTTCTACATTTGGCCTAAAAGCGCTTGAAATCTCCACCTGCAAATATCACAAAAAGAGGGTTTCACATCTGCTCTGTCTAAAGGACAGTTCACCTCTGTGAGTTGAATAGAGGCAACACAAAGAACTTACTCAGTATTCTTCTTTCTAGCGTTCTATGAAGAAATCCCGTTTCCAACGAAGGCCTCAAAGAGGTCAAATATCTGCTTGCAGACTTTACAGACAGAGTGTTTCCAAACTACTCTATGAAAAGAAAGCTTAAACTCCTTGAGTTGAACGCACACATCACAAAGTAGTTTCTGAGAATGATTCTGTCTAGTTTTTATACGAAGATGTTTCCTTTTCTACATTTGGTCTCAAAGCGATTGAAATCTCCAACTGGAAACTGCACAAATAGGCTGTTTCAAATCTGCTCTGTCTAAAGGAAGGTTCAACTCTGTGAGTTGAATACACACACCACAAATAAGTTACTGAGAATTCTTCTGTCGAACATTACATGAAGAAATCCCGTTTCCAACGAAGGCCTCAAAGAGGTCCAAATATCCACTTGCAGACATTACAGAGTGTTTCCAAACTGCTCCATCAAAAGAAAGGTTAAACTCTGTGAGCTGAACACACACATTGAAAAGAAGTTTCTGTGAATGATTCTGTCTAGATTTTATAAGAAGATGTTTCCTTTTCTACCGTAGGCCTCAAAGCGCTTGAAATCTCCAGCTGTAAATTCCACAAAAAGGGTGTTTAACATCTGCTCTTCTAAAGGAAAGTTCAACTCTATGAGTTGAATACACACAGCACAAAGAAGTTACTGAGACTTCTCCTATCAAACATTATATGAAGAAATCCCGTTTCCAACGAAGGACTCAAAGAGGTCCAAATATCTGCTTGCAGACTTTAAAGACAGAGTTTTTCCAAACTCCTCCATCAAAAGAAAGGTTAAACTCCTTGAGTTGAACACACACATCACAAAGTAGTTTCTGTGAATGATTCTGTCTCGTTTTTATACGAAGATGTTTCCTTTTCTACCTTTGGTCTCAAAGCGATTGAAATCTCCACATGGAAACTCCACAAAAAGAGTGTTTCAAATCTGCTCTTTCTGAAGGAAGGTTCAACTCTGTGAGTTGAATACACACACCACAAATAAGTTACTGAGAATTCTTCTGGGTAACATTATATGAGGAAATCCCGTTTCCAACGAAGGCCTCAAAGAGGTCCAAATATCCACTTGCAGACTTTACAAAGACAGTGTCTCCAAACTCCTCCATCAAAAGAAAGGTTATACTCTGTGAATTGAACGCACACATCACAAAGTAGTTTCTGAGAATGATTCTGTCTAGTTTTTATACGAAGATATTTCCTTTTCTACATTTGGCCTAAAAGCGCTTGAAATCTCCAAGTGCAAATATCACAAAAAGAGGGTTTCACATCTGCTGTGTCTAAAGGACAGTTCACCTCTGTGAGTTGAATAGAGGCAACACAAAGAACTTACTCAGTATTCTTCTTTCTAGCGTTCTATGAAGAAATCCCGTTTCCAACGAAGACCCCAATGAGGTCCAAATATCTGCTTGCAGACTTTACAGACAGAGTGTTTCCAAAGTACTCTATGAAAAGAAAGCTTAAACTCCTTGAGTTGAACGCACACATCACAAAGTAGTTTCTGAGAATGATTCTGTCTTGTTTTTATACGAAGATATTTCCGTTTCTACGATTGGCCTCAAAGCGATTGAAATCTCCAACTGGAAACTGCACAAATAGGGTGTTTCAAATCTGCTCTGTCTAAAGGAAGGTTCAACTCTGTGAGTTGAATACACACACCACAAATAAGTTACTGAGAATTCTTCGCTCGAACATTACATGAAGAAATCCTGTTTCCAACGAAGGCCGCAAAGAGGTCCAAATATCCACTTGCCGACATGGCAAACACAGTGTTTGCAAACTGCTCCGTCAAAAGAAAGTTTAAACTCTGTGAGATGAACACACACATCAAAAAGAAGTTTCTGTGAATGATTCTGTCTAGATTTTATAAGAAGATGTTTCCTTTTCTACCATATTCCTCAAAGCACTAGAAATCTCCAGCTGCAAATTCCACAAAAAGTGTGTTTGACATCTGCTCTGTCTAAAGAAAAGTTCAGCTCTGTGAGTTGAATACACACAGCACAAAGAAGTTACTGAGTCTTCTTCTGTCTAACATTATATGAAGAAATCCAGTTTCCAACGAAGGCCTCAAAGAGGTCCAAATATCCACTTGTAGACTTGTCAAACAGAGTGTTTCCAAACTGCACCATCAAAAGAAAAGTTAAACTCTGTGAGCTGAACACACACATCACAAAGTAGTTTCTGTGAATGATTCTGTCTAGATTTTATAAGAAGATGTTTCCTTTTCTACCGTAGGCCTCAAAGCGCTTGAAATCTCCAGCTGCAAATTCCACAAAAAGGGTGTTTAACATCTGCTCTTCTAAAGGAAAGTTCAACTCTATGAGTTGAATACACACAGCTCAAAGAAGTTACTGAGACTTCTCCTATCAAACATTATATGAAGAAATCCCGTTTCCAACGAAGGCCTCAAAGAGGTCCAAATATCTGCTTGCAGACTTTACAGACAGAGTGTTTCCAAACTGCTCCATCAAAAGAAAGGTTAAACTCCTTGAGTTGAACACACACATCACAAAGTAGTTTCTGTGAATGATTCTGTCTAGTTTTTATACGAAGATGTTTCCTTTTCTACCTTTGGTCTCAAAGCGATTGAAATCTCCACATGGAAACTCCACAAAAAGAGTGTTTCAAATCTGCTCTTTCTGAAGGAAGGTTCAACTCTGTGAGTTGAATACACACACCACAAATAAGTTACTGAGAATTCTCCCTGTGTAACATTATATGAGGAAATCCCGTTTCCAACAAAGGCCTCAAAGAGGTCCAAATATCCACTTGCAGACTTTACAAAGACAGTGTCTCCAAACTCCTCCATCAAAAGAAAGGTTATACTCTGTGAATTGAACGCACACATCACAAAGTAGTTTCTGAGAATGATTCTGTCTAGTTTTAATACGAAGATATTTCCTTTTCTACATTTGGCCTAAAAGCGCTTGAAATCTCCACCTGCAAATATCACAAAAAGAGGGTTTCACATCTGCTCTGTCTAAAGGACAGTTCACCTCTGTGAGTTGAATAGAGGCAGCACAAAGAAGTTACTGAGTATTCTTCTTTCTAGCGTTACATGAAGAAATCCCGTTTCCAACGAAGGCCTCAAAGAGGTCCAAATATCTGCTTGCAGACTTTACAGACAGAGTGTTTCCAAACTACTCTATGAAAAGAAAGCTTAAACTCCTTGAGTTGAACGCACACATCACAAAGCAGTTTCTGAGAATGATTCTGTCTTGTTTTTATACGAAGATATTTCCGTTTCTATGATAGGCCTCCAAGCGATTGAAATCTCCAACTGGAAACTGCACAAATAGGGTGTTTCAAATCTGCTCTGTCTAAAGGAAAGTTCAACTCTGTGAGTTGAATACACACACCACAAATAAGTTACTGAGAATTCTTCTGTCGAACATTACTTGAAGAAATCCCGTTTCCAACGAAGGCCTCAAAGAGGTCCAAATATCCACTTGCAGACATTACAAACAGAGTGTTTCCAAACTGCTCCATCAAAAGAAAGGTTAAACTCTGTGAGCTGAACACACACATCAAAAAGAAGTTTCTGTGAATGATTCTGTCTAGATTTTATAAGAAGATGTTTCCTTTTCTACCGTAGGCCTCAAAGCGCTTGAAATCTCCAGCTGCAAATTTCACAAAAAGGGTGTTTAACATCTGCTCTTCTAAAGGAAAGTTCAACTCTATGCGTTGAATACACACAGCACAAAGAAGTTACTGAGACTTCTCCTATCAAACATTATATGAAGAAATCCCGTTTCCAACGAAGGCCTCAAAGAGGTCCAAATATCTGCTTGCAGACTTTACAGACAGAGTGTTTCCAAACTGCTCCATCAAAAGAAAGGTTAAACTCCTTGAGTTGAACACACACATCACAAAGTAGTTTCTGTGAATGATTCTGTCTAGTTGTTATACGAAGATGTTTCCTTTTCTACCTTTGGTCTCAAAGCGATTGAAATCTCCACATGGAAACTCCACAAAAAGAGTGTTTCAAATCTGCTCTTTCTGAAGGAAGGTTCATCTCTTGTGAGTTGAATACACACACCACAAATAAGTTACTGAGAATTCTTCTGGGTAACATTATATGAGGAAATCCCGTTTCCAACGAAGGCCTCAAAGAGGTCCAAATATCCACTTGCAGACTTTACAAAGACAGTGTCTCCAAACTCCTCCATCAAAAGAAAGGTTATACTCTGTGAATTGAACGCACACATCACAAAGTAGTTTCTGAGAATGATTCTGTCTAGTTTTTATACGAAGATATTTCCTTTTCTACATTTGGCCTAAAAGTGCTTGAAATCTCCACCTGCAAATATCACAAAAAGAGGGTTTCACATCTGCTCTGTCTAAAGGACAGTTCACCTCTGTGAGTTGAATAGAGGCAACACAAAGAACTTACTCAGTATTCTTCTTTCTAGCGTTCTATGAAGAAATCCCTTTTCCAACGAAGGCCTCAAAGAGGTCCAAATATCTGCTTGCAGACTTTACAGAGTGTTTCCAAACTACTCTATGAAAAGAAAGCTTAAACTCCTTGAGTTGAACGCACACATCACAAAGTAGTTTCTGAGAATGATTCTGTCTAGTTTTTATACGAAGATGTTTCCTTTTCTACATTTGGTCTCAAAGCTCTTGAAATCTCCAACTGGAAACTGCACAAATAGGCTGTTTCAAATCTGCTCTGTCTAAAGGAAGGTTCAACTCTGTGAGTTGAATACACACACCACAAATAAGTTACTGAGAATTCTTCTGTCGAACATTACTTGAAGAAATCCCGTTTGCAACGAAGGCCTCAAAGAGGTCCAAATATCCACTTGCAGACATTACAACAGAGTGTTTCCAAACTGCTCCATCAAAAGAAAGGTTAAACTCTGTGAGCTGAACACACACATCAAAAAGAAGTTTCTGTGAATGATTCTGTCTAGATTTTATAAGAAGATGTTTCCTTTTCTACCGTTGGCCTCAAAGCGCTTGAAATCTCCAGCTGCAAATTCCACAAAAAGGGTGTTTAACATATGCTCTTCTAAAGGAAAGTTCAACTCAATGAGTTGAGTACACACAGCACAAAGAAGTTACTGAGACTTCTCCTATCAAACATCATATGAAGAAATCCCGTTTCCAACGAAGGCCTCAAAGAGGTCCAAATATCTGCTTGCAGACTTTACAAAGACAGTGTCTCCAAACTCCTCCATCAAAAGAAAGGTTAAACTCCTTGAGTTGAACCCACACATCACAAAGTAGTTTCTGTGAATGATTCTGTCTAGTTTTTATACGAAGATGTTTCCTTTTCTACCTTTGGTCTCAAAGCGATTGAAATCTCCACATGGAAACTCCACAAAAAGAGTGTTTCAAATCTGCTCTTTCTGAAGGAAGGTTCAACTCTGTGAGTTGAATACACACACCACAAATAAGTTACTGAGAATTCTTCTGTGTAACATTATATGAGGAAATCCCGTTTCCAACGAAGGCCTCAAAGAGGTCCAAATATCCACTTGCAGACTTTACAAAGACAGTGTCTCCAAACTCCTCCATCAAAAGAAAGGTTATACTCTGTGAATTGAACGCACACATCACAAAGTAGTTTCTGAGAATGATTCTGTCTAGTTTTTATACGAAGATATTTCCTTTTCTACATTAGGCCTAAAAGCCCTTGAAATCTCCACCGGCAAGTATCACAAAAAGAGGGTTTCACATCTGCTCTGTCTAAAGGACAGTTCTCCTCTGTGAGTAGAATAGAGGCAACACAAAGAACTTAGTATTCTTCTTTCTAGCGTTCTATGAAGAAATCCCGTTTCCAACGAAGGCCCCAAAGAGGTCCAAATATCTGCTTGCAGACTTTACAGACAGAGTGTTTCCAAACTACTCTATGAAAAGAAAGCTTAAACTCCTTGAGTTGAACGCACACATCACAAAGTAGTTTCTGAGAATGATGCTGTCTAGTTTTTGTACGAAGATGTTTCCTTTTCCACATTTGGTCTCAAAGCGATTGAAATCTCCAACTGGAAACTGCACAAATAGGGTGTTTCAAATCTGCTCTGTCTAAAGGAAGGTTCAACTCTGTGAGTTGAATACACACACCATAAATAAGATACTGAGAATTCTTCTCTCGAACATTACATGAAGAAATCCCGTTTCCAACGAAGGCCTGAGAGAGGTCCAAATATCCAGTAGCCGACAATGCAAACACAGTGTTTCCAAACTGCTCCGTCAAAAGAAAGGTTAAACTCTCTGAGATGAACACACACATCAGAAAGAAGTTTCTGTGAATGATTCTGTCTAGATTTTATAAGAAGATGTTTCCTTTTCTACCGTAGGCCTCAAAGCGCTTGAAATCTCCAGCTGCAAATTCCACAAAAAGGGTGTTTAACATCTGCTCTTCTAAAGGAAAGTTCAACTCTATGAGTTGAATACACACAGCACAAAGAAGTTACTGAGACTTCTTCTTTCTAGCGTTATATGAAGAAATCCCGTTTCCAACGAAGGCCCCAAAGAGGTCCAAATATCCGCTTGCAGACTTTACAGACAGAGTGTTTCCAAACTGCTCCATCAAAAGAAAGGTTAAACTCCTTGAGTTGAACACACACATCACAAAGTAGTTTCTGTGAATGATTCTGTCTAGTTTTTATACGAAGATGTTTCCTTTTCTACCTTTGGTCTCAAAGCGATTGAAATCTCCACATGGAAACTCCACAAAAAGAGTGTTTCAAATCTGCTCTTTCTGAAGGAAGGTTCAACTCTGTGAGTTGAATAAACACACCACAAATAAGTTACTGAGAATTCTTCTGTGTAACATTATATGAGGAAATCCCGTTTCCAACGAAGGCCTCAAAGAGGTCCAAATATCCACTTGCAGACTTTACAAAGACAGTGTCTCCAAACTCGTCCATCAAAAGAAAGGTTATACTCTGTGAATTGAACGCACACATCACAAAGTAGTTTCTGAGAATGATTGTGTCTAGTTTTTATACGAAGATATTTCCTTTTCTACATTTGGCCTAAAAGCGCTTGAAATCTCCACCTGCAAATATCACAAAAAGAGGGTTTCACATCTGCTCTGTCTAAAGGACAGTTCACCTCTGTGTGTTGAATAGAGGCAACACAAAGTACTTACTCAGTATTCTTCTTTCTACCGTTCTATGAAGAAATCCCGTTTCCAACGAATGCCTCAAAGAGGTCCAAATATCTGCTTGCAGACTTTACAGAGTGTTTCCAAACTACTCTATGAAAAGAAAGCTTAAACTCCTTGAGTTGAACGCACACATCACAAAGTAGTTTCTGAGAATGATTCTGTCTAGTTTTTATACGAAGATGTTTCCTTTTCTACATTTGGTCTCAAAGCGATTGAAATCTCCAACTGGAAACTGCACAAATAGGGTGTTTCAAATCTGCTCTGTCTAAAGGAAGGTTCAACTCTGTGAGTTGAATACACACACCACAAATAAGTTACTGAGAATTCTTCTGTCGAACATTACATGAAGAAATCCCGTTTCCAACCAAGGCCTCAAAGAGGTCCATATATCCACTTGCAGATATTACAAACTGAGTGTTTCCAAACTGCTCCATCAAAGGAAATGTTAAACTCTGTGAGCTGAACACACACATCAAAAAGAAGTTTCTGTGAATGATTCTGTCTAGATTTTATAAGAAGATGTTTCCTTTTCTACCGTAGGCCTCAAAGCGCTTGAAATCTCCAGCTGCAAATTCCACAAAAAGGGTGTTTAACATCTGCTCTTCTAAAGGAAAGTTCAACTCTATGAGTTGAATACACACAGCACAAAGAAGTTACTGAGACTTCTCCCATCAAACATTATATGAAGAAATCCCGTTTCCAACGAAGGCCTCAAAGAGGTCCAAATATCTGCTTGCAGACTTTACAGACAGAGTGTTTCCAAACTGCTCCATCAAAAGAAAGGTTAAACTCCTTGAGTTGAACACACACATCACAAAGTAGTTTCTGTGAATGATTCTGTCTAGTTTTTATACGAAGATGTTTCCTTTTCTACCTTTGGTCTCAAAGCGATTGAAATCTCCACATGGAAACTCCACAAAAAGAGTGTTTCAAATCTGCTCTTTCTGAAGGAAGGTTCAACTCTGTGAGTTGAATACACACACCACAAATAAGTTACTGAGAATTCTTCTGTGTAACATTATATGAGGAAATCCCGTTTCCAACGAAGGCCTCAAAGAGGTCCAAATATCCACTTGCAGACTTTACAAAGACAGTGTCTCCAAACTCCTCCATCAAAAGAAAGGTTATACTCTGTGAATTGAACGCACACATCACAAAGTAGTTTCTGAGAATGATTCTGTCTAGTTTTTATACGAAGATATTTCCTTTTCTATATTTGGCCTAAAAGCGCTTGAAATCTCCACCTGCAAATATCACAAAAAGAGGGTTTCACATCTGCTCTGTCTAAAGGACAGTTCACCTCTGTGAGTTGAATAGAGGCAACACAAAGAACTTACTCAGTATTCTTCTTTCTAGCGTTATATGAAGAAATCCCGTTTCCAACGAAGGCCTCAAAGAGGTCCAAATATCTGCTTGCAGACTTTACAGACAGAGTGTTTCCAAACTACTCTATGAAAAGAAAGCTTAAACTCCTTGAGTTGAACGCACACATCACAAAGTAGTTTCTGAGAATGATTCTGTCTTGTTTTTATACAAAGTTATTTCCGTTTCTATGATTGGCCTCAAAGCGATTGAAATCTCCAACTGGAAACTGCACAAATAGGGTGTTTCAAATCTGCTCTGTCTAAAGGAAGGTTCAACTCTGTGAGTTGAATACACACACCACAAATAAGTTACTGAGAATTCTTCTGTCGAACATTACATGAAGAATTCCCGTTTCCAACGAAGGCCTCAAAGAGGTCCAAATATCCACTTGCAGGCATTGCAAACAGAGTGTTTCCAAACTGCTCCATCAAAAGAAAGTTTAAACTCTGTGAGCTGAACACACACATCAAAAAGAAGTTTCTGTGAATGATTCTGTCTAGATTTTATAAGAAGATGTTTCCTTTTCTACCGTAGGCCTCAAAGCGCTTGAAATCTCCAGCTGCAAATTCCACAAAAAGGGTGTTTAACATCTGCTCTTCTAAAGGAAAGTTCAACTCTATGAGTTGAATACACACAGCACAAAGAAGTTACTGAGACTTCTCCTATCAAACATTATATGAAGAAATCCCGTTTCCAACGAAGGCCTCAAAGAGGTCCAAATATCTGCTTGCAGACTTTGCAGACAGAGTGTTTCCAAACTGCTCCATCAAAAGAAAGGTTAAACTCCTTGAGTTGAACACACACATCACAAAATAGTTTCTGTGAATGATTCTGTCTAGTTTTTATACGAAGATGTTTCCTTTTCTACCTTTGGTCTCAAAGCGATTGAAATCTCCACATGGAAACTCCACAAAAAGAGTGTTTCAAATCTGCTCTTTCTGAAGGAAGGTTCAACTCTGTGAGTTGAATACACACACCACAAATAAGTTACTGAGAATTCTTCTGTGTAACATTATATGAGGAAATCCCGTTACCAACGAAGGCCTCAAAGAGGTCCAAATATCCACTTGCAGACTTTACAAACACAGTGTCTCCAAACTCCTCCATCAAAAGAAAGGTTATACTCTGTGAATTGAACGCACACATCACAAAGTAGTTTCTGAGAATGATTCTGTCTAGTTTTTATACGAAGATATTTCCTTTTCTACATTTGGCCTAAAAGCGCTTGAAATCTCCACCTGCAAATATCACAAAAAGAGGGTTTCACATCTGCTCTGTCTAAAGGACAGTTCACCTCTGTGAGTTGAATAGAGGCAACACAAAGAACTTACTCAGTATTCTTCTTTCTAGCGTTCTATGAAGAAATCCCGTTTCCAACGAAGGCCCCAAAGAGGTCCAAATATCTGCTTGCAGACTTTACAGACAGAGTGTTTCCAAACTACTCTATGAAAAGAAAGCTTAAACTCCTTGAGTTGAACGCACACATCACAAAGTAGTTTCTGAGAATGATTCTGTCTAGTTTTTATACGAAGATGTTTCCTTTTCTACATTTGGTCTCAAAGCGATTGAAATCTCCAACTGGAAACTGCACAAATAGGGTGTTTCAAATCTGCTCTGTCTAAAGGGAAGGTTCAACTCTGTGAGTTGAATACACACACCACAAATAAGTTACTGAGAATTCTTCTGTCGAACATTACTTGAAAAAATCCCGTTTCCAACGAAGGCCTCAAGGAGGTCCAAATAACCACTTGCAGACATTACAAACAGAGTGTTTCCAAACTGCTCCATCAAAAGAAAGGTTAAACTCTGTGAGCTGAACACACACATCAAAAAGAAGTTTCTGTGAATGATTCTGTCTAGATTTTATAAGATGTTTCCTTTTCTACCGTAGGCCTCAAAGCGCTTGAAATCTCCAGCTGCAAATTCCACAAAAAGGGTGTTTAACATCTGCTCTTCTAAAGGAAAGTTCAACTCTATGAGTTGAATACACACAGCACAAAGAAGTTACTGAGACTTCTCCTATCAAACATTATATGAAGAAATCCCGTTTCCAACGAAGGCCTCAAAGAGGTCCAAATATCTGCTGGCAGACTTTACAGACACAGTTTTTCCAAACTGCTCCATCAAGAGAAAGGTTAAACTCCTTGAGTTGAACACACACATCACAAAGTAGTTTCTGTGAATGATTCTGTCTAATTTTTATACGAAGATGTTTCCTTTTCTACCTTTGGTCTCAAAGCGATTGAAATCTCCACATGGAAACTCCACAAAAAGAGTGTTTCAAATCTGCTCTTTCTGAACGAAGGTTCAACTCTGTGAGTTGAATACACACACCACAAATAAGTTACTGAGAATTCTTCTGTGTAACATTATATGAGGAAATCCCGTTTCCAACGAAGGCCTCAAAGAGGTCCAAATATCCACACGCAGACTTTACAAAGACAGTGTCTCCAAACTCCTCCATCAAAAGAAAGGTTATACTCTGTGAATTGTACGCACACATCACAAAGTAGTTTCTGAGAATGATTCTGTCTAGTTTTTATACGAAGATATTTCCTTTTCTACATTTGGCCTAAAAGCGCTTGAAATCTCCACCTGCAAATATCACAAAAAGAGGGTTTCACATCTGCTCTGTCTAAAGGACAGTTCACCTCTGTGAGTTGAATAGAGGCAACACAAAGAACTTACTCAGTATTCTTCTTTCTAGCGTTCTATGAAGAAATCCCGTTTCCAACGAAGGCCCCAAAGAGGTCCAAATATCTGCTTGCAGACTTTACAGACAGAGTGTTTCCAAACTACTCTATGAAAAGAAAGCTTAAACTCCTTGAGTTGAACGCACACATCACAAAGTAGTTTCTGAGAATGATTCTGTCTAGTTTTTATATGAAGATGTTTCCCTTTCTACAATTGGTCTCAAAGCGATTGAAATCTCCAACTGGAAACTGCACAAATAGGCTGTTTCAAATCTGCTCTGTCTAAAAGAGGGTTCAACTCTGTGAGTTGAATACACACACCACAAATAAGTTACTGAGAATTCTTCTGTCGAACATTACATGAAGAAATCCCGTTTCCAACGAAGGCCTCAAAGACGTCCAAATATCCACTTGCAGACATTACAAACAGAGTGTTTCCAAACTGCTCCATCAAAAGAAAGGTTAAACTCTGTGAGCTGAACACACACATCAAAAAGAAGTTTCTGTGAATGATTCTGTCTAGATTTTATAAGAAGATGTTTCCTTTTCTACCGTAGGCCTCAAAGCGCTTGAAATCTCCAGCTGCAAATTCCACAAAAAGGGTGTTTAACATCTGCTCTTCTAAAGGAAAGTTCAACTCTATGAGTTGAATACACACAGCACAAAGAAGTTACTGAGACTTCTCCTATCAAACATTATATGAAGAAATCCCGTTTCCAACGAAGGCCTCAAAGAGGTCCAAATATCTGCTTGCAGACTTTACAGACAGAGTGTTTCCAAACTGCTCCATCAAAAGAAAGGTTAAACTCCTTGAGTTGAACACACACATCACAAAGTAGTTTCTGTGAATGATTCTGTCTAGTTGTTATACGAAGATGTTTCCTTTTCTACCTTTGGTCTCAAAGCGATTGAAATCTCCACATGGAAACTCCACAAAAAGAGTGTTTCAAATCTGCTCTTTCTGAAGGAAGGTTCATCTCTGTGAGTTGAATATACACACCACAAATAAGTTACTGAGAATTCTTCTGTGTAACATTATATGAGGAAATCCCGTTTCCAACGAAGGCCTCAAAGAGGTCCAAATATCCACTTGCAGACTTTACAAAGACAGTGTCTCCAAACTCCTCCATCAAAAGAAAGGTTATACTCTGTGAATTGAACGCACACATCACCAAGTAGTTTCTGAGAATGATTCTGTCTAGTTTTTATACGAAGATGTTTCCTTTTCTACATTTGGCCTAAAAGTGCTTGAAATCTCCACCTGCAAATATCACAAAAAGAGGGTTTCACATCTGCTCTGTCTAAAGGACAGTTCACCTCTGTGAGTGGAATAGAGGCAACACAAAGAACTTACTCAGTATTCTTCTTTCTAGCGTTCTATGAAGAAATCCCGTTTCTAACGAAGTCCCCAAAGAGGTCCAAATATCTGCTTGCAGACGTTACAGACAGAGTGTTTCCAAACTGCTCCATCAAAAGAAAGGTTAAACTCCTTGAGTTGAACACACACATCACAAAGTAGTTTTTGTGAATGATTCTCTGTCTAGTTTTTATACGAAGATGTTTCCTTTTCTACATTTGGTCTCAAAGCGATTGAAATCTCCAACGGGAAACTGCACAAATAGGGTGTTTCAAATCTGCTCTGTCTAAAGGAAGGTTCAACTCTGTGAGTTGAATACACACACCACAAATAAGTTACTGAGAATTCTTCTGTCGAACATTACATGAAGAAATCCCGTTTCCAACGAAGGCCTCAAAGAGGTCCAAATATCCACTTGCAGACATTACAAACAGTGTGTTTCCAAACTGCTCCATCAAAAGAAAGGTTAAACTCTGTGAGCTGAACACACACATCAAAAAGGAGTTTCTGTGAATGATTCTGTCTAGATTTTATAAGAAGATGTTTCCTTTTCTACCGTAGGCCTCAAAGCGCTTGAAATCTCCAGCTGCAAATTCCACAAAAAGGGTGTTTATGATCTGCTCTTCTAAAGGAAAGTTCAACCCTATGAGTTGAATACACACAACACAAAGAAGTTACTGAGACTTCTCCTATCAAACATTATATGAAGAAATTCCGTTTCCAACGAAGGCCTCAAAGAGGTCCAAATATCTGCTTGCAGACTTTACAGACAGAGTGTTTCCAAACTGCTACATCAAAAGAAAGGTTAAACTCCTTGAGTTGAACACACACATCACAAAGTAGTTTCTGTGAATGATTCTGTCTAGTTTTTATACGAAGATGTTTCCTTTTCTACCTTTGGTCTCAATGCGATTGAAATCTCCACATGGAAACTCCACAAAAAGAGTGTTTCAAATCTGCTCTTTCTGAAGGAAGGTTCAACTCTGTGAGTTGAATACACACACCACAAATAAGTTACTGAGAATTCTTCTGGGTAACATTATATGAGGAAATCCCGTTTCCAACGAAGGCCTCAAAGAGGTCCAAATATCCACTTGCAGACTTTACAAAGACAGTGTCTCCAAACTCCTCCATCAAAAGAAAGGTTATACTCTGTGAATTGAACGCACACATCACAAAGTAGTTTCTGAGAATGATTCTGTCTAGTTTTTATACGAAGATATTTCCTTTTCTACATTTGGCCTAAAAGCGCTTGAAATCTCCACCTGCAAATATCACAAAAAGAGGGTTTCACATCTGCTCTGTCTAAAGGACAGTTCACCTCTGTGAGTTGAATAGAGGCAACACAAAGAACTTACTCAGTATTCTTCTTTCTAGCGTTCTATGAAGAAATCCCGTTTCCAACGAAGGCCCCAAAGAGGTCCAAATATCTGCTTGCAGACTTTACAGACAGAGTGTTTCCAAACTACTCTATGAAAAGAAAGCTTAAACTCCTTGAGTTGAACGCACACATCACAAAGTAGTTTCGGAGAATGATTCTGTCTAGTTTTTATACGAAGATGTTTCCTTTTCTACATTTGGTCTCAAAGCGATTGAAATCTCCAACTGGAAACTGCACAAATAGGGTGTTTCAAATCTGCTCTGTCTAAAGGAAGGCTCAACTCTGTGAGTTGAATACACACACCACAAATAAGTTACTGAGAATTCTTCTGTCGAACATTACTTGAAGAAATCCCGTTTCCAACGAAGGCCTCAAAGAGGTCCAAATATCCACTTGCAGATATTACAAACAGAGTGTTTCCAAACTACTCCAACAAAAGAAAGGTTAAACTCTGTGAGCTGAACACACACATCAAAAAGAAGTTTCTGTGAATGATTCTGTCTAGATTTTATAAGAAGATGTTTCCTTTTCTACCGTAGGCCTCAAAGCGCTTGAAATCTCCAGCTGCAAATTCCACAAAAAGGGTGTTTAACATCTGCTCTTCTAAAGGAAAGTTCGACTCTATGAGTTGAATACACACAGCACAAAGAAGTTACTGAGACTTCTCCTGTCAAACATTATATGAAGAAATCCCGTTTCCAACGAAGGCCTCAAAGAGGTCCAAATATCTGCTTGCAGACTTTACAGACAGAGTGTTTCCAAACTGCTCCATCAAAAGAAAGGTTAAACTCCTTGAGTTGAACACACACATCACAAAGTAGTTTCTGTGAATGATTCTGTCTAGTTGTTATACGAAGATGTTTCCTTTTCTACCTTTGGTCTCAAAGCGATTGAAATCTCCACATGGAAACTCCACAAAAAGAGTGTTTCAAATCTGCTCTTTCTGAAGGAAGGTTCATCTCTGTGAGTTGAATACACACACCACAAATAAGTTACTGAGAATTCTTCTGTGTAACATTATATGAGGAAATCCCGTTTCCAACGAAGGCCTCAAAGAGGTCCAAATATCCACTTGCAGACTTTACAAAGACAGTGTCTCCAAACTCCTCCATCAAAAGAAAGGTTATACTCTGTGAATTGAACGCACACATCACAAAGTAGTTTCTGAGAATGATTCTGTCTAGTTTTTATACGAAGATATTTCCTTTTCTACATTTGGCCTAAAAGCGCTTGAAATCTCCACCTGCAAATATCACAAAAAGAGGGTTTCACATCTGCTCTGTCTAAAGGACAGTTCACCTCTGTGAGTTGAATAGAGGCAACACAAAGAACTTACCCAGTATTCTTCTTTCCAGCGTTCTCTGAAGAAATCCCGTTTCCAACGAAGGCCTCAAAGAGGTCCAAATATCTGCTTGCAGACTTTACAGACAGAGTGTTTCCAAACTACTCTATGAAAAGAAAGCTTAAACCCCTTGAGTTGAACGCACACATCACAAAGTAGTTTCTGAGAATGATTCTGTCTAGTTTTTATACGAAGATGTTCCCTTTTCTACATTTGCTCTCAAAGCGATTGAAATCTCCAACTGGAAACTCCACAAATAGGCTGTTTCAAATCTGCTCTGTCTAAAGGAAGGTTCAACTCTGTGAGTTGAATACACACACCACAAATAAGTTACTGAGAATTCTTCTGTCGAACATTACTTGAAGAAATCCCGTTTCCAACGAAGGCCTCAAAGAGGTCCAAATATCCACTTGCAGACATTACAAACAGAGTGTTTCCAAACTGCTCCATCAAAAGAAAGGTTAAACTCTGTGAGCTGAACACACACATCAAAAAGATGTTTCTGTGAATGATTCTGTCTAGATTTTATAAGAAGATGTTTCCTTTTCTACTGTAGGCCTCAAAGCGCTTGAAATCTCCAGCTGCAAATTCCACAAAAAGGGTGTTTAACATCTGCTCTTCTAAAGGAAAGTTCAACTCTATGAGTTGAATACACACAGAACAAAGAAGTTACTGAGACTTCTCCTATCAAACATTATATGAAGAAATCCCGTTTCCAACGAAGGCCTCAAAGAGGTCCAAATATCTGCTTGCAGACTTTACAGACAGAGTTTTTCCAAACTGCTCCATCAAAAGAAAGGTTAAACTCCTTGAGTTGAACACACACATCACAAAGTAGTTTCTGAGAATGATTCTGTCTAGTTTTTATACGAAGATATTTCCTTTTCTATATTTGGCCTAAAAGCGCTTGAAATCTCCACCTGCAAATATCACAAAAAGAGGGTTTCACATCTGCTCTGTCTAAAGGACAGTTCAACTCTGTGAGTTGAATAGAGGCAACACAAAGAACTTACTCAGTATTCTTCTTTCTAGCGTTCTATGAAGAAATCCCGTTTCCAACGAAGGCCCCAAAGAGGTCCAAATATCTGCTTGCAGACTTTACAGACAGAGTGTTTCCAAACTACTCTATGAAAAGAAAGCTTAAACTCCTTGAGTTGAACGCACACATCACAAAGTAGTTTCTGAGAATGATTCTGTCTAGTTTTTATACGAAGATGTTTCCTTTTCTACATTTGGTCTCAAAGCGATTGAAATCTCCAACTGGAAACTGCACAAATAGGGTGTTTCAAATCTGCTCTGTCTAAAGGAAGGTTCAACTCTGTGAGTTGAATACACACACCACAAATAAGTTACTGAGAATTCTTCTGTCGAACATTACTTGAAGAAATCCCGTTTCCAACGAAGGCCTCAAAGAGGTCCAAATATCCACTTGCAGACATTACAAACAGAGTGTTTCCAAACTGCTCCATCAAAAGAAAGGTTAAACTCTGTGAGCTGAACCCACACATCAAAAAGAAGTTTCTGTGAATGATTTCTGTCTAGATTTTATAAGAAGATGTTTCCTTTTCTACCGTAGGCCTCAAAGCGCTTGAAATCTCCAGCTGCAAATTCCACAAAAAGGGTGTTTAACATCTGCTCTTCTAAAGGAAAGTTCAACTCTATGAGTTGAATACACACAGCACAAAGAAGTTACTGAGACTTCTCCTATCAAACATTATATGAAGAAATCCCGTTTCCAACGAAGGCCTCAAAGAGGTCCAAATATCTGCTTGCAGACTTTACAGACAGAGTGTTTCCAAACTGCTCCATCAAAAGAAAGGTTAAACTCCTTGGGTTGAACACACACATCACAAAGTAGTTTCTGTGAATGATTCTGTCTAGTTTTTATACGAAGATGTTTCCTTTTCTACCTTTGGTCTCAAAGCGATTGAAATCTCCACATGGAAACTCTACAAAAAGAGTGTTTCAAATCTGCTCTTTCTGAAGGAAGGTTCAACTCTGTGAGTTGAATACACACACCACAAATAAGTTACTGAGAATTATTCTGGGTAACATTATATGAGGAAATCCCGTTTCCAACGAAGGCCTCAAAGAGGTCCAAATATCCACTTGCAGACTTTACAAAGACAGTGTCTCCAAACTCCTCCATCAAAAGAAAGGTTATACTCTGTGAATTGAACGCACACATCACAAAGTAGTTTCTGAGAATGATTCTGTCTAGTTTTTATACGAAGATATTTCCTTTTCTACATTTGGCCTAAAAGCGCTTGAAATCTCCACCTGCAAATATCACAAAAAGAGGGTTTCACATCTGCTCTGTCTAAAGGACAGTTCACCTCTGTGAGTTGAATAGAGGCAACACAAAGAACTTACTCAGTATTCTTCTTTCTAGCGTTCTATGAAGAAATCCCCTTTCCAACGAAGACCCCAAAGACGTCCAAATATCTGCTTGCAGACTTTACAGACAGAGTTTTTCCAAACTGCTCCATCAAAAGAAAGGTTAAACTCCTTGAGTTGAACACACACGTCACAAAGTAGTTTCTGTGAATGATTCTGTCTAGTTTTTATACGAAGATGTTTCCTTTTCTACTTTTGGTCTCAAAGCCATTGAAATCTCCACATGGAAACTCCACAAAAAGAGTGTTTCAAATCTGCTCTTTCTGAAGGAAGGTTCAACTCTGTGAGTTGAATACACACACCACAAATAAGTTACTGAGAATTCTTCTGTCGAACATTACATGAAGAAATCCCGTTTCCAACGAAGGCCTCAAAGAGGTCCAAATATCCACTTGCAGACATTACAAACAGAGTGTTTCCAAACTGCTCCATCAAAAGAAAGGTTAAACTCTGTGAGCTGAACACACACATCAAAAAAGATTCTGTGAATGATTCTGTCTAGACTTTAGAAGATGTTTCCTTTTCTACCGTAGGCCTCAAAGCGCTTGAAATCTCCAGCTGCAAATTCCACAAAAAGGGTGTTTAACATCTGCTCTTCTAAAGGAAAGTTCAACTCCATGAGTTGAATACACACAGCACAAAGAAGTTACTGAGACTTCTCCTATCAAACATTATATGAAGAAATCCCGTTTCCAACGAAGGCCTCAAAGAGGTCCAAATATCTGCTTGCAGACTTTACAGACAGAGTGTTTCCAAACTGCTCCATCAAAAGAAAGGTTAAACTCCTTGAGTTGAACACACACATCACAAAGTAGTTTCTGTGAATGATTCTGTCTAGTTTTTATACGAAGATGTTTCCTTTTCTACCTTTGGTCTCAAAGCGATTGAAATCTCCACATGGAAACTCCACAAAAAGAGTGTTTCAAATCTGCTCTTTCTGAAGGAAGGTTCAACTCTGTGAGTTAAATACACACACCACAAATAAGTTACTGAGAATTCTTCTGTGTAACATTATATGAGGAAATCCCGTTTCCAACGAAGGCCTCAAAGAGGTCCAAATATCCACTTGCAGACTTTACAAAGACAGTGTCTCCAAACTCCTCCATCAAAAGAAAGGTTATACTCTGTGAATTGAACGCACACATCACAAAGTAGTTTCTGAGAATGATTCTGTCTAGTTTTTATACGAAGATATTTCCTTTTCTACATTTGGCCTAAAAGCGCTTGAAATCTCCACCTGCAAATATCACAAAAAGAGGGTTTCACATCTGCTCTGTCTAAAGGACAGTTCACCTCTGTGAGTTGAATAGAGGCAACACAAAGAACTTACTCAGTATTCTTCTTTCTAGCGTTCTATGAAGAAATCCCGTTTCCAACGAAGGCCTCAAAGAGGTCCAAATATCTGCTTGCAGACTTTACAGACAGAGTGTTTCCAAACTACTCTATGAAAAGAAAGCTTAAACTCCTTGAGTTGAATGCACACATAACAAAGTAGTTTCTGAGAATGATTCTGTCTAGTTTTTATACGAAGATGTTTCCTTTTCTACATTTGGTCTCAAAGCGATTGAAATCTCCAACTGGAAACTGCACAGATAGGGTGTTTCAAATCTGCTCTGTCTAAAGGAAGGTTCAACTCTGTGAGTTGAATACACACACCACAAATAAGTTACTGAGAATTCTTCTGTCGAACATTACATGAAGAAATCCCGTTTCCAACGAAGGCCTCAAAGAGGTCCAAATATCCACTTGCAGACATTACAAACAGAGTGTTTTCAAGCTGCTCCATCAAAAGAAAGGTTAAACTCGATGAGCTGAACACACACATCAAAAAGAAGTTTCTGTGAATGATTCTGTCTAGATTTTATAAGAAGATGTTTCCTTTTCTACAGTAGGCCTCAAAGCGCTTGAAACCTCCAGCTGCAAATTCCCCAAAAAGGGTGTTTAACATCTGCTCTTCTAAAGGAAAGTTCAACTCTATGAGTTGAATACACACAGCACAAAGAAGTTACTGAGACTTCTCCTATCAAACATTATATGAAGAAATCCCGTTTCCAACGAAGGCCTCAAAGAGGTCCAAATATCTGCTTGCAGACTTTACAGACAGAGTGTTTCCAAACTGCTCCATCAAAAGAAAGGTTAAACTCCTTGAGTTGAACACACACATCACAAAGTAGTTTCTGTGAATGATTCTGTCTAGTTTTTATACGAAGATGTTTCCTTTTCTACCTTTGGTCTCAAAGCGATTGAAATCTCCACATGGAAACTCCACAAAAAGAGTGTTTCAAATCTGCTCTTTCTGAAGGAAGGTTCAACTCTGTGAGTTGAATACACACACCACAAATAAGTTACTGAGAATTCTTCTGTGTAACATTATATGAGGAAATCCCGTTTCCAACGAAGGCCTCAAAGAGGTCCAAATATCCACTTGCAGACTTTACAAAGACAGTGTCTCCAAACTCCTCCATCAAAAGAAAGGTTATACTCTGTGAATTGAATGCACACATCACAAAGTAGTTTCTGAGAATGATTCTGTCTAGTTTTTATACGAAGATATTTCCTTTTCTACATTTGGCCTAAAAGCGCTTGAAATCTCCACCTGCAAATATCACAAAAAGAGGGTTTCACATCTGCTCTGTCTAAAGGACAGTTCACCTCTGTGAGTTGAATAGAGGCAACACAAAGAACGTACTCAGTATTCTTCTTTCTAGCGTTCTATGAAGAAATCCCGTTTCCAACGAAGGCCCCAATGAGGTCCAAATATCTGCTTGCAGACTTTACAGACAGAGTGTTTCCAAACTACTCTATGAAAAGAAAGCTTAAACTCCTTGAGTTGAACGCACACATCACAAAGTAGTTTCTGAGAATGATTCTGTCTAGTTTTTATACGAAGATGTTTCCTTTTCTACATTTGGTCTCAAAGCGATTGAAATCTCCAACTGGAAACTGCACAAATAGGGTGTTTCAAATCTGCTCTGTCTAAAGGAAGGTTCAACTCTGTGAGTTGAATACACACACCACAAATAAGTTACTGAGAATTCTTCTGTCGAACATTACATGAAGAAATCCCGTTTCCAACGAAGACCTCAAAGAGGTCCAAATATCCACTTGCAGACATTACAAACAGTGTGTTTCCAAACTGCTCCAACAAAAGAAAGGTTAAACACTGTGAGCTGAACACACACATCAAAAAGAAGTTTCTGTGAATGATTCTGTCTAGATTTTATAAGAAGATGTTTCCTTTTCTACCATAGGCCTCAAAGCGCTAGAAATCTCCAGCTGCAAATTCCACAAAAAATGTGTTTAACATCCGCTCTGTCTAAAGTAAAGTTCAGCTCTGTGAGTTGAATACACACAGCACAAAGAAGTTACTGAGACTTCTCCTATCAAACATTATATGAAGAAATCCCGTTTCCAACGAAGGCCTCAAAGAGGTCCAAATATCTGCTTGCAGACTTTACAGACAGAGTGTTTCCAAACTGCTCCATCAAAAGGAAGTTTAAACTCCTTGAGTTGAACACACACATCACAAAGTAGTTTCTGTGAATGATTCTGTCTAGTTTTTATACGAAGATGTTTCCTTTTCTACCTTTGGTCTCAAAGCAATTGAAGTCTCCACATGGAAACTCCACAAAAAGAGTGTTTCAAATCTGCTCTGTCTGAAGGAAGGTTCAACTCTGTGAGTTGAATACACACACCACAAATAAGTTACTGAGAATTCTTCTGTGTAACATTATATGAGGAAATCCCGTTTCCAACGAAGGCCTCAAAGAGGTCCAAATATCCACTTGCAGACTTTACAAAGACAGTGTCTCCAAACTCCTCCATCAAAAGAAAGGTTATACTCTGTGAATTGAACGCACACATCACAAAGTAGTTTCTGAGAATGATTCTGTCTAGTTTTTATACGAAGATATTTCCTTTTCTACATTTGGCCTAAAAGCGCTTGAAATCTCCACCTGCAAATATCACAAAAAGAGGGTTTCACATCTGCTCTGTCTAAAGGACAGTTCACCTCTGTGAGTTGAATAGAGGCAACACAAAGAACTTACTCAGTATTCTTCTTTCTAGCGTTCTATGAAGAAATCCCGTTTCCAACGAAGTCCCCAAAGAGGTCCAAATATCTGCTTGCAGACTTTACAGACAGAGTGTTTCCAAACTACTCTATGAAAAGAAAGATTAAACTCCTTGAGTTGAACGCACACATCACAAAGTAGTTTCTGAGAATGATTCTGTCTAGTTTTTATACGAAGATGTTTCCTTTTCTACGTTTGGTCTCAAAGCGATTGAAATCTCCAACTGGAAACTGCACAAATAGGGTGTTTCAAATCTGCTCTGTCTAAAGGAAGGTTCAACTCTGTGAGTTGAATACACACACCACAAATAAGTTACTGAGAATTCTTCTGTCGAACATTACTTGAAGAAATCCCGTTTCCAACGAAGGCCTCAAAGAGGTCCAAATATCCACTTGCAGACATTACAAACAGAGTGTTTCCAAACTGCTCCATCAAAAGAAAGGTTAAACTCTGTGAGCTGAACACACACATCAAAAAGAAGTTTCTGTGAATGATTCTGTCTAGATTTTATAAGAAGATGTTTCCTTTTCTACCGTAGGCCTCAAAGCGCTTGAAATCTCCAGCTGCAAATTCCACAAAAAGGGTGTTTAACATCTGCTCTTCTAAAGGAAAGTTCAACTCTATGAGTTGAATACACACAGCACAAAGAAGTTACTGAGACTTGTCCTATCAAACATTATATGAAGAAATCCCGTTTCCAACGAAGGCCTCAAAGAGGTCCAAATATCTGCTTGCAGACTTTACAGACAGAGTGTTTCCAAACTGCTCCATCAAAAGAAAGGTTAAACTCCTTGAGTTGAACACACACATCACAAAGTAGTTTCTGTGAATGATTCTGTCTAGTTTTTATACGAAGATGTTTCCTTTTCTACCTTTGGTCTCAAAGCGATTGAAATCTCCACATGGAAACTCCACAAAAAGAGTGTTTCAAATCTGCTCTTTCTGAAGGAAGGTTCAACTCTGTGAGTTGAATACACACACCACAAATAAGTTACTGAGAATTCTTCTGTGTAACATTATATGAGGAAATCCCGTTTCCAACGAAGGCCTCAAAGAGGTCCAAATATCCACTTGCAGACTTTACAAAGGCAGTGTCTCCAAACTCCTCCATCACAAGAGAGGTTATACTCTGTGAATTGAACGCACACATCACAAAGTAGTTTCTGAGAATGATTCTGTCTAGTTTTTATACGAAGATATTTCCTTTTCTACATTTGGCCTAAAAGCGCTTGAAATCTCCACCTGCAAATATCACAAAAAGAGGGTTTCACATCTGCTCTGTCTAAAGGACAGTTCACCTCTGTGAGTTGAATAGAGGCAACACAAAGAACTTAGTATTCTTCTTTCTAGCGTTCTATGAAGAAATCCCGTTTCCAACGAAGGCCTCAAAGAGGTCAAATATCTGCTTGCAGACTTTACAGACAGAGTGTTTCCAAACTACTCTATGAAAAGAAAGCTTAAACTCCTTGAGTTGAACGCACACATCACAAAGTAGTTTCTGAGAATGATTCTGTCTTGTTTTTATACAAAGATATTTCCGTTTCTATGATTGGCCTCAAAGCGATTGAAATCTCCAACTGGAAACTGCACAAATAGGGTGTTTCAAATCTGCTCTGTCTAAAGGAAGGTTCAACTCTGTGAGTTGAATACACACACCACAAATAAGTTACTGAGAATTCTTCTGTCGAACATTACATGAAGAAATCCCGTTTCCAACGAAGGCCTCAAAGAGGTCCAAATATCCACTTGCAGACATTACAAACAGAGTGTTTCCAAACTGCTCCATCAAAAGAAAGGTTAAACTCTGTGAGCTGAACACACACATCAAAAAGAAGTTTCTGTGAATGATTCTGTCTAGATTTTATAAGAAGATGTTTCCTTTTCTACCGTAGGCCACAAAGCGCTTGAAATCTCCAGCTGCAAATTCCACAAAAAGGGTGTTTAACATCTGCTCTTCTAAAGGAAAGTTCAACTCTATGCGTTGAATACACACAGCACAAAGAAGTTACTGAGACTTCTCCTATCAATCATTATATGAAGAAATCGCGTTTCCAACGAAGGCCTCAAAGAAGTCCTAATATCCACTTGCAGACATTACAAACAGAGTGTTTCCAAACTGTTCCATCAAAAGAAAGGTTAAACTCTGTGAGCTGAACACACACATGAAAAAGAAGTTTCTGTGAATGATTCTGTCTAGATATTATAAGAAGATGTTTCCTTTTCTACCGTAGGCCTCAAAGCGCTTGAAATCTCCAGCTGCAAATTCCACAAAAAGGGTGTTTAACATCTGCTCTTCTAAAGGAAAGTTCAACTCTATGAGTTGAATACACACAGCACAAAGAAGTTACTGAGACTTCTCCTATCAAACATTACATGAAGAAATCCCGTTTCCAACGAAGGCCTCAAAGAGGTCCAAATATCTGCTTGCAGACTTTACAGACAGAGTGTTTCCAAACTGCTCCATCAAAAGAAAGGTTAAACTCCTTGAGTTGAACACACACATCACAAAGTAGTTTCTGTGAATGATTCTGTCTAGTTTTTATACGAAGATGTTTCCTTTTCTACCTTTGGTCTCAAAGCGATTGAAATCTCCACATGGAAACTCCACAAAAAGAGTGTTTCAAATCTGCTCTTTCTGAAGGAAGGTTCAACTCTGTGAGTTGAATACACACACCACAAATAAGTTACTGAGAATTCTTCTGTGTAACATTATTTGAGGAAATCCCGTTTCCAACGAAGGCCTCAAAGAAGTCCAAATATCCACTTGCAGACTTTTCAAAGACCGTGTCTCCAAACTCCTCCCTCAAAAGAAAGGTTTTACTCTGTGAATTGAACGCACACATCACAAAGTAGTTTCTGAGAATGATTCTGTCTAGTTTTTATACGAAGATATTTCCTTTTCTACATTTGGCTAAAAGCGCTTGAAATCTCCACCTGCAAATATCACAAAAAGAGGGTTTCACATCTGCTCTGTCTAAAGGACAGTTCACCTCTGTGAGTTGAATAGAGGGAAAACAAAGAACTCATTCAGTATTCTTCTTTCTAGCGTTATATGAAGAAATCCCGTTTCCAAGGAAGACCTCAAAGAGGTCCAAATATCTGCTTGCAGACTTTACAGACAGAGTGTTTCCAAACTGCTCCATCAAAAGAAAGGTTAAACTCCTTGAGTTGAACACACACATCACAAAGTAGTTTCTGTGAATGATTCTGTCTAGTTTTTATACGAAGATGATTCGTTTTCTACCTTTGGTCTCAAAGCGATTGAATTCTCCACATGGATACTCCACAAAAAGATTGTTTCAAATCTGCTCTTTCTGAAGGAAGGTTCAACTCTGTCAGTTGAATACAAACACCACAAATAAGCTACTGAGAATTCTTCTGTGTAACATTATATGAGGAAATCCCGTTTCCAACGAAGGCCTCAAAGAGGTCCAAATATCCACTTGCAGACTTTACAAAGACAGTGTCTCCAAACTCCTCCATCAAAAGAAAGGTTATACTGCTGTGAATTGAACGCACACATCACAAAGTAGTTTGCTGAGAATGATTCTGTCTAGTTTTTATACGAAGATATTTCCTTTTCTACATTTGGCCTAAAAGCGATTGAAGTCTCCACCTGCAAATATCACAAAAAGAGGGTTTCACATCTGCTCTGTCTAAAGGACAGTTCACCTTTGTGAGTTGAATAGAGGCAACACAAAGAACTTACTCAGTATTCTTCTTTCTAGCGTTCTATGAAGAAATACCGTTTCCAACGAAGACCCCAATGAGGTCCAAATATCTGCTTGCAGACTTTACAGACAGAGTGTTTCCAAACTACTCTATGAAAAGAAAGCTTAAACTCCTTGAGTTGAACGCACACATCACAAAGTAGTTTCTGAGAATGATTCTGTCTAGTTTTTATACGAAGATGTTTCCTTTTCTACATTTGGTCTCAAAGCGATTGAAATCTCCAACTGGAAACTGCACAAATAGGGTGTTTCAAATTTGCTCTGTCTAAAGGAAGGTTCAACTCTGTGAGTTGAATACACACACCACAAATAAGTTACTGAGAATTCTTCTGTCGAACATTACTTGAAGAAATCCCGTTTCCAACGAAGGCCTCAAAGAGGTCCAAATATCCACTTGCAGACGTTACAAACAGAGTGTTTCCAAACTGCTCCATCAAAAGAAAGGTTAAACTCTGTGAGCTGAACACACACATCAAAAAGAAGTTTCTGTGAATGATTCTGTCTAGATTTTATAAGAAGATGTTTCCTTTTCTACCGTAGGCCTCAAAGCGCTTGAAATCTCCAGCTGCAAATTCCACAAAAAGGGTGTTTAACATCTGCTCTTCTAAAGGAAAGTTCAACTCTATGAGTTGAATACACACAGCACAAAGAAGTTACTGAGACTTCTCCTATCAAACATCATATGAAGAAATCCCGTTTCCAACGAAGGCCTCAAAGAGGTCCAAATATCTGCTTGCAGACTTTACAGACAGAGTGTTTCCAAACTACTCTATGAAAAGAAAGCTTAAACTCCTTGAGTTGAACGCACACATCACAAAGTAGTTTCTGAGAATGATTCTGTCTAGTTTTTATACGAACATATTTCCTTTTCTACATTTGGTCTCAAAGCGATTGAAATCTCCACATGGAAACTCCACAAAAAGAGTGTTTCAAATCTGCTCTCTCTGAAGGAAGGTTCAACTCTGTGAGTTGAAAACACACACCACAAATAAGTTACTGAGAATTCTTCTGTGTAACATTATATGAGGAAATCCCGTTTCCAACGAAGGCCTCAAAGAGGTCCAAATATCCACTTGCAGACTTTACAAAGACAGTGTCTCCAAACTCCTCCATCAAAAGAAAGGTTATACTCTGTGAATTGAACGCACACTTCACAAAGTAGTTTCTCAGAATGATTCTGTCTAGTTTTTATACGAAGATATTTCCTTTTCTACATTTGGCCTAAGAGCGCTTGAAATCTCTACCTGCAAATATCACAAAAAGAGGGTTTCACATCTGCTCTGTCTAAAGGACAGTTCACCTCTGTGAGTTGAATAGAGGCAACACAAAGAACTTACTCAGTATTCTTCTTTCTAGCGTTCTATGAAGAAATCCCTTTTCCAAAGAAGGCCTCAAAGAGGTCCAAATATCTGCTTGCAGACTTTACAGAGTGTTTCCAAACTACTCTATGAAAAGAAAGCTTAAACTCCTTGAGTTGAACGCACACATCACAAAGTAGTTTCTGAGAATGATCCTGTCTAGTTTTTATACGAAGATGTTTCCTTTTCTACATTTGGTCTCAAAGCGATTGAAATCTCCAACTGGAAACTGCACAAATAGGGTGTTTCAAATCTGCTCTGTCTAAAGGAAGGTTCAACTCTGTGAGTTGAATACACACACCACAAATAAGTTACTGAGAATTCTTCTGTCGAACATTACTTGAAGAAATCCCGTTTCCAACGAAGGCCTCAAAGAGGTCCAAATATCCACTTGCAGACGTTACAAACAGAGTGTTTCCAAACTGCTCCATCAAAAGAAAGGTTAAACTCTGTGAGCTGAACACACACATCAAAAAGAAGTTTCTGTGAATGATTCTGTCTAGATTTTATAAGAAGATGTTTCCTTTTCTACCGTAGGCCTCAAAGCGCTTGAAATCTCCAGCTGCAAATTCCACAAAAAGGGTGTTTAACATCTGCTCTTCTAAAGGAAAGTTCAACTCTATGAGTTGAATACACACAGCACAAAGAAGTTACTGAGACTTCTCCTATCAAACATTATATGAAGAAATCCCGTTTCCAACGAAGGCCTCAAAGAGGTCCAAATATCTGCTTGCAGACTTTACAGACAGAGTGTTTCCAAACTGCTCCATCAAAAGAAAGGTTAAACTCCTTGAGTTGAACACACACATCACAAAGTAGTTTCTGTGAATGATTCTGTCTAGTTTTTATACAAAGATGTTTCCTTTTCTACCTTTGGTCTCAAAGCGATTGAAATCTCCACATGGAAACTCCACAAAAAGAGTGTTTCAAATCTGCTCTTTCTGAAGGAAGGTTCAACTCTGTGAGTTCAATACACACACCACAAATAAGTTACTGAGAATTCTTCTGTGTAACATTATATGAGGAAATCCCGTTTCCAACGAAGGCCTCAAAGAGGTCCAAATATCCACTTGCAGACTTTACAAAGACAGTGTCTCCAAACTCCTCCATCAAAAGAAAGGTTATACTCTGTGAATTGAACGCACACATCACAAAGTAGTTTCTGAGAATGATTCTGTCTAGTTTTTATATGAAGATATTTCCTTTTCTACATTTGGCCTAAAAGCGCTTGAAATCTCCACCTGCAAATATCACAAAAAGAGGGTTTCACATCTGCTCTTTCTGAAGGACAGTTCACCTCTGTGAGTTGAATAGAGGCAACACAAAGAACTTACTCAGTATTCTTCTTTCTAGCGTTATATGGAGAAATCCCGTTTGCAACGAAGGCCTCAAAGAGGTCCAAATATCTGCTTGCAGACTTTACAGACAAAGTGTTTCCAAACTACTATATGAAAAGAAAGCTTAAAATCCGTGAGTTGAACGCACACATCACAAAGTAGTTTCTGAGAATGATTCTGTCTTGTTTTTATACGAAGATAGTTCCGTTTCTACGATTGGCCCCAAAGCGATTGAAATCTCCAACTGGAAACTGCACAAACAGGGTGTTTCAAATCTGCTCTGTCTAAAGGAAGGTTCAACTCTGTGAGTTGAATACACACACCACAAATAAGTTACTGAGAATTCTTCTGTCGAACATTACTTGAAGAAATCCCGTTTCCAACGAAGGCCTCAAAGAGGTCCAAATATCCACTTGCAGATATTACAAACAGAGTGTTTCCAAACTGCTCCATCAAAAGAAAGGTTAAACTCTGTGAGCTGAACACACACATCAAAAAGAAGTTTCTGTGAATGATTCTGTCTAGATTTTATAAGAAGATGTTTCCTTTTCTACCGTCGGCCTCAAAGCGCTTGAAATCTCCAGCTGCAAATTCCACAAAAAGGGTGTTTAACATCTGGTCTTCTAAAGGAAAGTTCAACTCTATGAGTTGAATACACACAGCACAAAGAAGTTACTGAGACTTCTCCTATCAAACATTATAGTGAAGAAATCCCGTTTCCAAGGAAGGCCTCAAAGAGGTCCAAATATCTGCTTGCAGACTTTACAGACAGAGTGTTTTCCAAACTGCTCCATACAAAAGAAAGGTTAAACTCCTTGAGTTGAACACACACATCACAAAGTAGTTTCTGTGAATGATTCTGTCTAGTTTGTATACGAAGATGTTTCCTTTTCTACCTTTGGTCTCAAAGCGATTGAAATCTCCACATGGAAACTCCACAAAAAGAGTGTTTCAAATATGCTCTTTCTGAAGGAAGGTTCAACTCTGTGAGTTGAATACACACACCACAAATAAGTTACTGAGAATTCTCCCTGTGTAACATTATATGAGGAAATCCCGTTTCCAACAAAGGCCTCAAAGAGGTCCAAATATCCACTTGCAGACTTTACAAAGACAGTGTCTCCAAACTCCTCCATCAAAAGAAAGGTTATACTCTGTGAATTGAACGCACACATCACAAAGTAGTTTCTGAGAATGATTCTGTCTACTTTTTATACGAAGATATTTCCTTTTCTACATTTGGCCTAAAAGCGCTTGAAATCTCCACCTGCAAATATCACAAAAAGAGGGTTTCACATCTGCTCTGTCTAAAGGACAGTTCACCTCTGTGAGTTGAATAGAGACAACACAAAGAAGTTACTGAGTATTCTTCTTTCTAGCGTTATATGAAGAAATCCCGTTTCCAACGAAGGCCTCAAAGAGGTCCAAATATCTGCTTGCAGACTTTACAGATAGAGTGTTTCCAAACTACTCTATGAAAAGAGAGCTTAAACTCCTTGATTTGAACGCACACATCACAAAGTAGTTTCTGAGAATGATTCTGTCTAGTTTTTATACGAAGATGTTTCCTTTTCTACATTTGGTCTCAAAGCGATTGAAATCTCCACCTGGAAACTGCACAAATAGGGAGTTCCAAATCTGATCTGTCTAAAGGAAGGGTCAACTCTGTGAGTTGAATACACACACCACTAATAAGTTACTGAGAATTCTTCTCTCGAACATTACATGAAGAAATCCCGTTTCCAACGAAGGCCTCAAAGAGGTCCAAATATCCAGTTGCCGACAATGCAAACACAGTTTTTCCAAACTGCTCCGTCAAAAGAAAGGTTAAACACTGTGAGATGAACACACACATCAAAAAGAAGTTTCTGTGAATGACTCTGTCTGGATTTTATAAGAAGATGTTTCCTTTTCTACCATAGGCCTCAAAGCGCTAGAAATCTCCAGCTGCAAATTCCACAAAAAGTGTGTTTAACATCCGCTCTGTCTAAAGTAAAGTTCAGCTCTGTGAGTTGAATACACACAGCACAAAGAAGTTACTGAGACTTCTTCTGTCTAACATTATATGAAGAAATCCCTTTTCCAACGAAGGCCTCAAAGAGGTCCAAATATCCACTTGCAGACTTGTCAAAAAGAGTGTTTCCAAACTGCACCATCAAAAGAAAGGTTAAACTCTGTGAGCTGAACACACACATCACAAACTAGTTTCTGTGAATGATTCTGTCCAGTTTTTATACGAAGATGTTTCCTTTTCTACCTTTGGTCTCAAAGCTATTGAAATCTCCACATGGAAACTCCACAAAAAGAGTGTTTCAAATCTGCTCTTTCTGAAGGAAGGTTCATCTCTGTGAGTTGAATACACACACCACAAATAAGTTACTGAGAATTCTTTCTGTGTAACATTATATGAGGAAATCCCGTTTCCAACGAAGGCCTCAAAGAGGTCCAAATATCCACTTGCAGACTTTACAAAGACAGTGTCTCCAAACTCCTCCATGAAAAGAAAGGTTATACTCTGTGAATTGAACGCACACATCACAAAGTAGTTTCTGAGAATGATTCTGCCTAGTTTTTATTCGAAGATATTTCCTTTTCTACATTTGGCCTAAAAGCGCTTGAAATCTCCACCTGCAAATATCACAAAAAGAGGGTTTCACATCTGCTCTGTCTAAAGGACAGTTCACCTCTGTGAGTTGAATAGAGGCAACACCAAGAACTTACTCAGTATTCTTCTTTCTAGCGTTATATGAAGAAATCCCGTTTCCAACGAAGGCCTCAAAGAGGTCCAAATATCTGCTTGCAGACTTTACAGACAGAGTGTTTCCAAACTACTCTATGAAAAGAAAGCTTAAACTCCTTGAGTTGAACGCACACATCACAAAGTAGTTTCTGAGAATGATTCTGTCTTGTTTTTATACGAAGATATTTCCGTTTCTATGATTGGCCTCAAAGCCATTGAAATCTCCAACTGGAAACTGCACAAATAGTGTGTTTCAAATCGGCTCTGTCTAAAGGAAGGTTCAACTCTGCGAGTTGAATACACACACCACAAATAAGTTACTGAGAATTCTTCTGTCGAACATTACATGAAGAAATCCAGTTTCCAACGAAGGCCTCAAAGAGGTCCAAATATCCACTTGCAGACATTACGAACAGAGTGTTTCCAAACTGCTCCATCAAAAGAAAGGTTAAACTCTGGGAGCTGAACACACACATCAAAAAGAAGTTTCTGTGAATGATTCTGTCTAGATTTTATGAGAAGATGTTTCCTTTTCTACCGTAGGCCTCAAAGCGCTTGAAATCTCCAGCTGCAAATTCCACAAAAAGGGTGTTTAACATCTGCTCTTCTAAAGGAAAGTTCAACTCTATGAGTTGAATACACACAGCACAAAGAAGTTACTGAGACTCCTATCAAACATTATATGAAGAAATCCCGTTTCCAACGAAGGCCTCAAAGAGGTCCAAATATCTGCTTGCAGACTTTACAGACAGAGTGTTTCCAAACTGCTCCATCAAAAGAAAGGTTAACCTCCTTGAGTTGAACACACACATCACAAAGTAGTTTCTGTGAATGATTCTGTCTAGTTTTTATACGAAGATGTTTCCTTTTCTACCTTTGGTCTCAATGCGATTGAAATCTCCACATGGAAACTCCACAAAAAGAGTGTTTCAAATCTGCTCTTTCTGAAGGAAGGTTCAACTCTGTGAGTTGAATACACACACCACAAATAAGTTACTGAGAATTCTTCTGTGTAACATTATATGAGGAAATCCCGTTTCCAACGAAGGCCTCAAAGAGATCCAAATATCCACTTGCAGACTTTACAAAGACAGTGTCTCCAAACTCCTCCATCAAAAGAAAGGTTATGCTCTGTGAATTCAACGCACACATCACAAAGTAGTTTCTGAGAATGATTCTGTCTAGTTTTTATACGAAGATATTTCCTTTTATACATTTGGCCTAAAAGCGCTTGAAATCTCCACCTGCAAATATCACAAAAAGAGGGTTTCACATCTGCTCTATCTAAAGGACAGTTCACCTCTGTGAGTTGAATAGAGGCAACACAAAGAACTTACTCAGTATTCTTCTTTCTAGCGTTCTATGAAGAAATCCCGTTTCCAACGAAGGCCCCAAAGAGGTCCAAATATCTGCTTGCAGACTTTACAGACAGAGTGTTTCCAAACTACTCTATGAAAAGAAAGCTTAAACTCCTTGAGTTGAACGCACACATCACAAAGTAGTTTCGGAGAATGATTCTGTCTAGTTTTTATACGAAGATGTTTCCTTTTCTACTTTTGGTCTCAAAGCGATTGAAATCTCCAACTGGAAACTGCACAAATAGGGTGTTTCAAATCTGCTCTGTCTAAAGGAAGGTTCAACTCTGTGAGTTGAATACACACACCACAAATAAGTTACTGAGAATTCTTCTGTCGAACATTACAGGAAGAAATCCCGTTTCCAACGAAGGCCTCAAAGAGGTCCAAATATCCACTTGCAGACATTACAAACAGAGTGTTTCCAAACTGCTACATCAAAAGAAAGGTTAAACTCTGTGAGCTGAACACACACATCAAAAAGAAGTTTCTGTGAATGATTCTGTCTAGATTTTATAAGAAGATGTTTCCTTTTCTACCGTAGGCCTCAAAGCGCTTGAAATCTCCAGCTGCAAATTCCACAAAAAGGGTGTTTAACATCTGCTCTTCTAAAGGAAAGTTCAACTCTATGAGTTGAATACACACAGCACAAAGAAGTTACTGAGACTTCTCCTATCAAACATTATATGAAGAAATCCCGTTTCCAACGAAGGCCTCAAAGAGGTCCAAATATCTGCTTGCAGACTTTACAGACAGAGTGTTTCCAAACTGCTCCATCAAAAGAAAGGTTAAACTCCTTGAGTTGAACACACACATCACAAAGTAGTTTCTGTGAATGATTCTGTCTAGTTTTTATACGAAGATGTTTCCTTTTCTACCTTTGGTCTCAAAGCGATTGAAATCTCCACATGGAAACTCCACAAAAAGAGTGTTTCAAATCTGCTCTTTCTGAAGGAAGGTTCAACTCTGTGAGTTGAATACACACACCACAAATAAGTTACTGAGAATTCTTCTGTGTAACATTATATGAGGAAATCCCGTTTCCAACGAAGGCCTTAAAGAGGTCCAAATATCCACTTGCAGACTTTACAAAGACAGTGTCTCCAAACTCCTCCATCAAAAGAAAGGTTATACTCTGTGAATTGAACGCACACATCACAAAGTAGTTTCTGAGAATGATTCTGTCTAGTTTTTATACGAAGATATTTCCTTTTCTACATTTGGCCTAAAAGCGCTTGAAATCTCCACCTGCAAATATCACAAAAAGAGGGTTTCACATCTGCTCTGTCTAAAGGACAGTTCACCTCTGTGAGTTGAGTAGAGGCAACACAAAGAACTTACTCAGTATTCTTCTTTCTAGCGTTCTATGAAGAAATCCCGTTTCCAACGAAGGCCCCAAAGAGGTCCAAATATCTGCTTGCACACTTTACAGACAGAGTGTTTCCAAACTACTCTATGAAAAGAAAGCTTAAACTCCTTGAGTTGAACGCACACATCACAAAGTAGTTTCTGAGAATGATTCTGTCTAGTTTTTATACGAAGATGTTTCCTTTTCTACATTTGGTCTCAAAGCGATTGAAATCTCCAACTGGAAACTGCACAAATAGGGTGTTTCAAATCTGCTCTGTCTAAAGGGAAGGTTCAACTCTGTGAGTTGAATACACACACCACAAATAAGTTACTGAGAATTCTTCTGTCGAACATTACTTGAAGAAATCCCGTTTCCAACGAAGGCCTCAAAGAGGTCCAAATATCCACTTGCAGATATTACAAACAGAGTGTTTCCAAACTGCTCCATCAAAAGAAAGGTTAAACTCTGTGAGCTGAACACACACATCAAAAAGAAGTTTCTGTGAATGATTCTGTCTAGATTTTATAAGAAGATGTTTCCTTTTCTACCGTAGGCCTCAAAGCACTTGAAATCTCCAGCTGCAAATTCCACAAAAAGGGTGTTTAACATCTGCTCTTCTAAAGGAAAGTTCAACTCTATGAGTTGAATACACACAGCACAAAGAAGTTACTGAGACTTCTCCTATCAAACATTATATGAAGAAATCCCGTTTCCAACGAAGGCCTCAAAGAGGTCCAAATATCTGCTTGCAGACTTTACAGACAGAGTGTTTCCAAACTGCTCCATCAAAAGAAAGGTTAACCTCCTTGAGTTGAACACACACATCACAAAGTAGTTTCTGTGAATGATTCTGTCTAGTTTTTATACGAAGATTTTTCCTTTTCTACCTTTGGTCTCAATGCGATTGAAATCTCCACATGGAAACTCCACAAAAAGAGTGTTTCAAATCTGCTCTGTCTAAAGGAAGGATCAACTCTGTGAGTTGAATACACACACCACAATTAAGTTACTGAGAATTCTTCTGTGTAACATTATATGAGGAAATCCCGTTTCCAACGAAGGCCTCAAAGAGGTCCAAATATCCACTTGCAGACTTTACAAAGACAGTGTCTCCAAACTCCTCCATCAAAAGAAAGGTTATACTCTGTGAATTGAACGCACACATCACAAAGTAGTTTCTGAGAATGATTCTGTCTAGTTTTTATACGAAGATATTTCCTTTTCTACATTTGGCCTAAAAGCGCTTGAAATCTCCACCTGCAAATATCACAAAAAGAGGGTTTCACATCTGCTCTGTCTAAAGGACAGTTCACCTCTGTGAGTTGAATAGAGGCAACACAAAGAACTTACTCAGTATTCTTCTTTCTAGCATTCTATGAAGAAATCCCGTTTCCAACGAAGGCCCCAAAGAGGTCCAAATATCTGCTTGCAGACTTTACAAAGACAGTGTCTCCAAACTCCTCCATCAAAAGAAAGGTTATACTCTGTGAATTGAACGCACACATCACAAAGTAGTTTCTGAGAATGATTCTGTCTAGTTTTTATACGAAGATATTTCCTTTTCTACATTTGGCCTAAAAGCGCTTGAAATCTCCACGTGCAAATATCACAAAAAGAGGGTTTCACATCTGCTCTGTCTAAAGGACAGTTCACCTCTGTGAGTTGAATAGAGGCAACACAAAGAACTTACTCAGTATTCTTCTTTCTAGCGTTCTATGAAGAAATCCCGTTTCCAACGAAGACCCCAATGAGGTCCAAATATCTGCTTGCAGACTTTACAGACAGAGTGTTTCCAAACTACTCTATGAAAAGAAAGCTTAAACTCCTTGAGTTGAACGCACACATCACAAAGTAGTTTCTGAGAATAATTCTGTCTAGTTTTTATACGAAGATGTTTCCTTTTCTACATTTGGTCTCAAAGCGATTGAAATCTCCAACTGGAAACTGCACAAATAGGGTGTTTCAAATCTGCTCTGTCTAAAGGAAGGCTCAACTCTGTGAGTTGAATACACACACCACAAATAAGTTACTGAGAATTCTTCTGTCGAACATTACTTGAAGAAATCCCGTTTCCAACGAAGGCCTCAAAGAGGTCCAAATATCCACTTGCAGACATTACAAACAGAGTGTTTCCAAACTGCTCCATCAAAAGAAAGGTTAAACTCTGTGAGCTGAACACACACATCGAAAAGAAGTTTCTGTGAATGATTCTGTCTAGATTTTATAAGAAGATGTTTCCTTTTCTAACGTAGGACTCAAAGCGCTTGAAATCTCCAGCTGCAAATTCCACAAAAAGGGTGTTTAACATCTGCTCTTCTAAATGAAAGTTCAACTCTATGAGTTGAATACACACAGCACAAAGAAGTTACTGAGACTTCTCCTATCAAACATTATATGAAGAAATCCCGTTTCCAACGAAGGCCTCAAAGAGGTCCAAATATCTGCTTGCAGACTTTAAAGACAGAGTTTTTCCAAACTGCTCCATCAAAAAAAAGGTTAAACTCCTTGAGTTGAACACACACATCACAAAGTAGTTTCTGTGAATGATTCTGTCTAGTTTTTATACGAAGATGTTTCCTTTTCTACCTTTGGTCTCAAAGCGATTGAAATCTCCACATGGAAACTCCACAAAAAGAGGGTTTCAAATCTGCTCTTTCTGAAGGAAGGTTCAACTCTGTGAGTTGAATACACACACCACAAATAAGTTACTGAGAATTCTTCTGTGTAACATTATATGAGGAAATCCCGTTTCCAACGAAGGCCTCAAAGAGGTCCAAATATCCACTTGCAGACTTTACAAAGACAGTGTCTCCAAACTCCTCCATCAAAAGAAAGGTTATACTCTGTGAATTGAACGCACACATCACAAAGTAGTTTCTGAGAATGATTCTGTCTAGTTTTTATACGAAGATATTTCCTTTTCTACATTTGGCCGATAAGCGCTTGAAATCTCCACCTGCAAATATCACAAAAAGAGGGTTTCACATCTGCTCTGTCTAAAAGACAGTTCACCTCTGTGAGTTGAATAGAGGCAACACAAAGAACTTACTCAGTATTCTTCTTTCTAGCGTTCTATGAAGAAATCCCGTTTCCAACGAAGGCCTCAAAGAGGTCCAAATATCTGCTTGCAGACTTCACAGACAGAGTGTTTCCAAACTACTCTATGAAAAGAAAGCTTAAACTCCTTGAGTTGAATGCATACATCACAAAGTAGTTTCTGAGAATGATTCTGTCTAGTTTTTATACGAAGATGTTTCCTTTTCTACATTTGGTCTCAAAGCGATTGAAATCTCCAACTGGAAACTGCACAAATAGGGTGTTTCAAATCTGCTCTGTGTAAAGGAAGGTTCAACTCTGTGAGTTGAATACACACACCACAAATAAGTTACTGAGAATTCTTCTGTCAAACATTACTTGAAGAAATCCCGTTTCCAACGAAGGCCTCAAAGAGGTCCAAATATCCACTTGCAGACATTACAAACAGAGTGTTTCCAAACTGCTCCATCAAAAGAAAGGTTAAACACTGTGAGCTGAACACACACATCAAAAAGAAGTTTCTGTGAATGATTCTGTCTAGATTTTATAAGAAGATGTTTCCTTTTCTACCGTAGGCCTCAAAGCGCTTGAAATCTCCAGCTGCAAATTCCACAAAAAGGGTGTTTAACATCTGCTCTTCTAAAGGAAAGTTCAACTCTATGAGTTGAATACACACAGCACAAAGAAGTTACTGAGACTTCTTCTGTCTAACATTATATGAAGAAATCCCGTTTCCAACGAAGGCCTCAAAGAGGTCCAAATATCTGCTTGCAGACTTTACAGACAGAGTGTTTCCAAACTGCTCCATCAAAAGAAAGGTTAAACTCCTTGAGTTGAACACACACATCAAAAAGTAGTTTCTGTGAATGATTCTGTCTAGTTTTTATACGAAGATGTTTCCTTTTCTACCTTTGGTCTCAAAGCGATTGAAATCTCCACATGGAAACTCCACAAAAAGAGTGTTTCAAATCTGCTCTTTCTGAAGGAAGGTTCAACTCTGTGAGTTGAATACACACACCACAAATAAGTTACTGAGAATTCTTCTGTCGAACATTACTTGAAGAAATCCCGTTTCCAACGAAGGCCTCAAAGAGGTCCAAATATCCACTTGCAGACTTTACAAAGACAGTGTCTCCAAACTCCTCCATCAAAAGAAAGGTTATACTCTGTGAATTGAACGCACACATCACAAAGTAGTTTCTGAGAATGATTCTGTCTAGTTTTTATACGAAGATATTTCCTTTTCTACATTTGGCCTAAAAGCGCTTGAAATCTCCACCTGCAAATATCACAAAAAGAGGGTTTCACATCTGCTCTGTCTAAAGGACAGTTCACCTCTGTGAGTTGAATAGAGGCAACACAAAGAACTTACTCAGTATTCTTCTTTCTAGCGTTCTATGAAGAAATCCCGTTTCCAACGAAGGCCCCAAAGAGGTCCAAATATCTGCTTGCAGACTTTACAGACAGAGTGTTTCCAAACTACTCTATGAAAAGAAAGCTTAAACTCCTTGAGTTGAACGCACACATCACAAAGTAGTTTCTGAGAATGATTCTGTCTAGTTTTTATACGAAGATGTTTCCTTTTCTACATTTGGTCTCAAAGCGATTGAAATCTCCAACTGGAAACTGCACAAATAGGGTGTTTCAAATCTGCTCTGTCTAAAGGAAGGTTCAACTCTGTGAGGTGAATACACACACCACAAATAAGTTACTGAGAATTCTTCTGTCGAACATTACTTGAAGAAATCCCGTTTCCAACGAAGGCCTCAAAGAGGTCCAAATATCCACTTGCAGACATTACAAACAGAGTGTTTCCAGACTGCTCCATCAAAAGAAAGGTTAAACTCTGTGAGCTGAACACACACATCAAAAAGAAGTTTCTGTGAATGATTCTGTCTAGATTTTATAAGAAGATGTTTCCTTTTCTACCGTAGGCCTCAAAGCGCTTGAAATCTCCAGCTGCAAATTCGACAAAAAGGGTGTTTATCATCTGCTCTTCTAAAGGAAAGTTCAACTCTATGAGTTGAATACACACAGCACAAAGAAGTTACTGAGACTTCTCCTATCAAACATTATATGAAGAAATCCCGTTTCCAACGAAGGCCTCAAAGAGGTCCAAATATCTGCTTGCAGACTTTACAGACAGAGTGTTTCCAAACTGCTCCATCAAAAGAAAGGTTAAACTCCTTGAGTTGAACACACACATCACAAAGTAGTTTCTGTGAATGATTCTGTCTAGTTTTTATACGAAGATGTTTCCTTTTCTACCTTTGGTCTCAAAGCGATTGAAATCTCCACATGGAAACTCCACAAAAAGAGTGTTTCAAATCTGCTCTTTCTGAAGGAAGGTTCAACTCTGTGAGTTGAATACACACACCACAAATAAGTTACTGAGAATTCTTCTGTGTAACATATATGAGGAAATCCCGTTTCCAACGAAGGCCTCAAAGAGTTCCAAATATCCACTTGCAGACTTTAGAAAGACAGTGTCTCCAAACTCCTCCATCAAAAGAAAGGTTATACTCTGTGAATTGAACGCACACATCACAAAGTAGTTTCTGAGAATGATTCTGTCTAGTTTTTATACGAAGATATTTCCTTTTCTACATTTGGCCTAAAAGCGCTTGAAATCTCCACCTGCAAATATCAGAAAAAGAGGGTTTCACATCTGCTCTGTCTAAAGGACAGTTCACCTCTCTGAGTTGAATAGAGGCAACACAAAGAACTTACTCAGTATTCTTCTTTCTAGCGTTCTATGAAGAAATCCCGTTTCCAACGAAGGGCCCCAAAGAGGTCCAAATATCTGCTTGCAGACTTTAGAGACAGAGTGTTTCCAAACTACTCTATGAAAAGAAAGCTTAAACTCCTTGAGTTGAACGCACACATCACAAAGTAGTTTCTGGGAATGATTCTGTCTAGTTTTTATACGAAGATGTTTCCTTTTCTACATTTGGTCTCAAAGCGATTGAAATCTCCAACTGGAAACTGCACAAATAGGCTGTTTCAAATCTGCTCTGTCTAAAGGAAGGTTCAACTCTGTGAGTTGAATACACACACCACAAATAAGTTACTGAGAATTCTTCTCCCGAACATTACTTGAAGAAATCCCGTTTCCAACGAAGGCCTCAAAGAGGTCCAAATATCCACTTGCAGACATTACAAACAGAGTGTTTCCAAACTGCTCCATCAAAAGAAAGGTTAAACTCTGTGAGCTGAACACACACATCAAAAAGAAGTTTCTGTGAATGATTCTGTCTAGATTTTATAAGAAGATGTTTCCTTTTCTACCGTAGGCCTCAAAGCGCTTGAAATCTCCAGCTGCAAATTCCACAAAAAGGGTGTTTAACATCTGCTCTTCTAAAGGAAAGTTCAACTCTATGAGTTGAATACACACAGCACAAAGAAGTTACTGAGACTTCTCCTATCAAACATTATATGAAGAAATCCCGTTTCCAACGAAGGCCTCAAAGAGGTCCAAATATCTGCTTGCAGACTTTACAGACAGAGTGTTTCCAAACTGCTCCATCAAAAGAAAGGTTAAACTCCTTGAGTTGAACACACACATCACAAAGTAGTTTCTGTGAATGATTCTGTCTAGTTGTTATACGAAGATGTTTCCTTTTCTACCTTTGGTCTCAAAGCGATTGAAATCTCCACATGGAAACTCCACAAAAAGAGTGTTTCAAATCTGCTCTTTCTGAAGGAAGGTTCATCTCTGTGAGTTGAATACACACACCACAAATAAGTTACTGAGAATTCTTCTGTGTAACATTATATGAGGAAATCCCGTTTCCAACGAAGGCCTCAAAGAAGTCCAAATATCCACTTGCAGACTTTACAAAGACAGTGTCTCCAAACTCCTCCATCAAAAGAAAGGTTATACTCTGTGAATTGAACGCACACATCACAAAGTAGTTTCTGAGAATGATTCTGTCTAGTTTTTATACGAAGATATTTCCTTTTCTACATTTGGCCTAAAAGCGCTTGAAATCTCCACCTGCAAATATCACAAAAAGAGGGTTTCACATCTGCTCTGTCTAAAGGACAGTTCACCTCTGTGAGTTGAATAGAGGCAACACAAAGAACGTACTCAGTATTCTTCTTTCTAGCGTTCTATGAAGAAATCCCGTTTCCAACGAAGGCCTCAAAGAGGTCCAAATATCTGCTTGCAGACTTTACAGACAGAGTGTTTCCAAACTACTCTATGAAAAGAAAGCTTAAACTCCTTGAGTTGAACGCACACATCACAAAGTTGTTTCTGAGAATGATTCTGTCTTGTTTTTATACAAGGTTATTTCCGTTTCTATGATTGGCCTCAAAGCGATTGAAATCTCCAACTGGAAACTGCACAAATAGGGTGTTTCAAATCTGCTCTGTCTAAAGGAAGGTTCAACTCTGTGAGTTGAATACACACACCACAAATAAGTTACTGAGAATCCTTCTGTCGAACATTACTTGAAGAAATCCCGTTTCCAACGAAGGCCTCAAAGAGGTCCAAATATCCACTTGCAGACATTAGAAACAGAGCGTTTGCAAACTGCTCCATCAAAAGAAAGGTTAAACTCTGTGAGCTGAACACACACATCAAAAAGAAGTTTCTGTGAATGATTCTGTCTAGTTTTTATACGAAGATGTTTCCTTTTCTACCTTTGGTCTCAAAGCGATTGAAATCTCCTCATGGAAACTCCACAAAAAGAGTGTTTCAAATCTGCTCTTTCTGAAGGAAGGTTCAACTCTGTGAGTTGAATACACACACCACAAATAAGTTACTGAGAATTCTTCTGTGTAACATTATATGAGGAAATCCCGTTTCCAACGAAGGCCTCTAAGAGGTCCAAATATCCACTTGCAGACTTTACAAAGACAGTGTCTCCAAACTCCTCCATCAAAAGAAAGGTTATACTTCTGTGAATTGAACGCACACATCACAAAGTAGTTTCTCAGAATGATTCTGTCTAGTTTTTATACAAAGATATTTCCTTTTCTACATTTGGCCTAAAAGCGCTTGAAATCTCCACCTGCAAATATCACAAAAAGAGGGTTTCACATCTGCTCTGTCTAAAGGACAGTTCACCTCTGTGAGTTGAATAGAGGCAACACAAAGAACTTACTCAGTATTCTTCTTTCTAGCGTTCTATGAAGAAATCCCGTTTCCAACGAAGGCCTCAAAGAGGTCCAAATATCTGCTTGCAGACCTTACAGAGTGTTTCCAAACTACTCTATGAAAAGAAAGCTTAAACTCCTTGAGTTGAACGCACACATCACAAAGTAGTTTCTGAGAATTATTCTGTCTAGTTTTTATACGAAGATGTTTCCTTTTCTACATTTGGTCTCAAAGCGATTGAAATCTCCAACTGGAAACTGCACAAATAGGGTGTTTCAAATCTGCTCTGTCTAAAGGAAGGTTCAACCCTGTGAGTTGAATACACACACCACAAATAAGTTACTGAGAATTCTTCTGTCGAACATTACATGAAGAAATCCCGTTTCCAACGAAGGCCTCAAAGAGGTCCAAATGTCCACTTGCAGACATTACAAACAGTGTGTTTCCAAACTGCTCCATCAAAAGAAAGGTTAAACTCTGTGAGCTGAACACACACATCAAAAAGAAGTTTCTGTGAATGATTCTGTCTAGATTGTATAAGAAGATGTTTCCTTTTCTACCGTAGGCCTCAAAGCGCTTGAAATCTCCAGCTGCAAATTCCACCAAAAGGGTGTTTAACATCTGCTCTTCTAAAGGAAAGTTCAACTCTATGAGTTGAATACACACAGCACAAAGAAGTTACTAAGACTTCTCCTATCAAACATTATATGAAGAAATCCCGTTTCTAACGAAGGCCTCAAAGAGGTCCAAATATCCACTTGCAGACGTGACAAACAGAGTGTTTCCAAACTACTGCATCAAAAGAAAGGTTAAACTCTGTGAGTTGAACACACACATCACAAAGTAGTTTCTGTGAATGATTCTGTCTAGTTTTTATACGAAGATGTTTCCTTTTCTACCTTTGGTCTCAAAGCGATTGAAATCTCCACATGGAAACTCCACAAAAAGAGTGTTTCAAATCTGCTCTTTCTGAAGGAAGGTTCAACTCTGTGAGTTGAATACACACACCACAAATAAGTTACTGAGAATTCTTCTGTGTAACATTATATGAGGAAATCCCATTTCCAACGAAGGCCTCAAAGAGGTCCCAATATCCACATGCAGACTTTACAAAGACAGTGTCTCCAAACTCCTCCATCAAAAGAAAGGTTATACTCTGTGAATTGAACTCACACATCACAAAGTAGTTTCTGAGAAGGATTCTGTCTAGTTTTTATACGAAGATATTTCCTTTTCTACATTTGGCCTAAAAGCGCTTGAAATCTCCACCTGCAAATATCACAAAAAGAGGGTTTCACATCTGCTCTGTCTAAAGGACAGTTCACCTCTGTGAGTTGAATAGAGGCAACACAAAGAACTTACTCAGTATTCTTCTTTCTAGCGTTCTATGAAGAAATCCCGTTTCCAACGAAGGCCTCAAAGAGGTCCAAATATCTGCTTGCAGACTTTACAGACAGAGTGTTTCCAAACTACTCTATGAAAAGAAAGCTTAAACTCCTTGAGTTGAACGCACACATCACAAAGTAGTTTCTGAGAATGATTCTGTCTAGTTTTTATACGAAGATGTTTCCTTTTCTACATTTGGTCTCAAAGCGATTGAAATCTCCAACTGGAAACTGCACAAATAGGCTGTTTCAAATCTGCTCTGTCTAAAGGAAGGTTCAACTCTGTGAGTTGAATACACACACCACAAATAAGTTACTGAGAATTCTTCTGTCGAACATTACATGAAGAAATCCCGTTTCCAACGAAGGCCTCAAAGACGTCCAAATATCCACTTGCAGACATTACAAACAGAGTGTTTCCAAACTGCTCCATCAAAAGAAAGGTTAAACTCTGTGAGCTGAACACACACATCAAAAAGAAGTTTCTGTGAATGATTCTGTCTAGATTTTATAAGAAGATGTTTCCTTTTCTACCGTAGGCCTCAAAGCGCTTGAAATCTCCAGCTGCAAATTCCACAAAAAGGGTGTTTAACATCTGCTCTTCTAAAGGAAAGTTCAACTCTATGAGTTGAATACACACAGCACAAAGAAGTTACTGAGACTTCTCCTATCAAACATTATATGAAGAAATCCCGTTTCCAACGAAGGCCTCAAAGAGGTCCAAATATCTGCTTGCAGACTTTACAGACAGAGTGTTTCCAAACTGCTCCATCAAAAGAAAGGTTAAACTCCTTGAGTTGAACACACACATCACAAAGTAGTTTCTGTGAATGTTTCTGTCTAGTTTTTATACGAAGATGTTTCCTTTTCTACCTTTGGTCTCAAAGCGATTGAAATCTCCACATGGAAACTCCACAAAAAGAGTGTTTCAAATCTGCTCTTTCTGAAGGAAGGTTCAACTCTGTGAGTTGAATACACACACCACAAATAAGTTACTGAGAATTCTTCTGTGTAACATTATATGAGGAAATCCCGTTTCCAACGAAGGCCTCAAAGAGGTCCAAATATCCACTTGCAGACTTTACAAAGACAGTGTCTCCAAACTCCTCCATCAAAAGAAAGGTTATACTCTGTGAATTGAACGCACACATCACAAAGTAGTTTCTGAGAATGATTCTGTCTAGTTTTTATACGAAGATATTTCCTTTTCTACATTTGGCCTAAAAGCGCTTGAAATCTCCACCTGCAAATATCACAAAAAGAGGGTTTCACATCTGCTCTGTCTAAAGGACAGTTCACCTCTGTGAGTTGAATAGAGGCAACACAAAGAACTTACTCAGTATTCTTCTTTCTAGCGTTCTATGAAGAAATCCCGTTTCCAACGAAGGCCCCAAAGAGGTCCAAATATCTGCTTGCAGACTTTGCAGACAGAGTGTTTCCAAACTACTCGATGAAAAGAAAGCTTAAACTCCTTGAGTTGAACGCACACATCACAAAGTAGTTTCTGAGAATGATTCTGTCTAGTTTTTATACGAAGATGTTTCCTTTTCTACATTTGGTCTGAAAGCGATTGAAATCTCCAACTGGAAACTGCACAAATAGGCTGTTTCAAATCTGCTCTGTCTAAAGGAAGGTTCAGCTCTGTGAGTTGAATACACACACCACAAATAAGTTACTGAGAATTCTTCTGTCGAACATTACTTGAAGAAATCCCGTTTCCAAAGAAGGCCTCAAAGAGGTCCAAATATCCACTTGCAGACATTACAAACAGAGTGTTTCCAAACTGCTCCATCAAAAGAAAGGTTAAACTCTGTGAGCTGAACACACACATCAAAAAGAAGTTTCTGTGAATGATTCTGTCTAGATTTTATAAGAAGATGTTTCCTTTTCTACCATAGGCCTCAAAGCGCTAGAAATCTCCAGCTGCAAATTCCACAAAAAGTGTGTTTAACATCTGCTCTGTCTAAAGTAAAGTTCAGCTCTGTGAGTTGAATACACACAGCACAAAGAAGTTACTGAGACTTCTTCTGTCTAACATTATATGAAGAAATCCCGTTTCCAACGAAGGCCTCAAAGAGGTCCAAATATCCACTTGCAGACTTGTCAGAGTGTTTCCAAACTGCACCATCAAAAGAAAGGTTAAACTCTGTGAGCTGAACACACACATCACAAAGTAGTTTCTGTGAATGATTCTGTCTCGTTTTTATACGAAGATGTTTCCTTTTCTACCTTTGGTCTCAAAGCGATTGAAATCTCCACATGGAAACTCCACAAAAAGAGTGTTTGAAATCTGCTCTTTCTGAAGGAAGGGTCAACTCTGTGAGTTGAATACACACACCACAAATAAGTTACTGAGAATTCTCCTATCAAACATTATATGAAGAAATCCCGTTTCCAACGAAGGCCTCAAAGAGGTCCAAATATCTGCTTGCAGACTTTACAGACAGAGTGTTTCCAAACTGCTCCATCAAAAGAAAGTTTAAACTCCTTGAGTTGAACACACACATCACAAAGTAGTTTCTGTGAATGATTCTGTCTAGTTTTTATACGAAGATGTTTCCTTTTCTACCTTTGGTCTCAAAGCGATTGAAATCTCCACATGGAAACTCCACAAAAAGAGTGTTTCAAATCTGCTCTTTCTGAAGGAAGGTTCACCTCTGTGAGTTGAATAAACACACCACAAATAAGTTACTGAGAATTCTTCTGTGTAACATTATATGAGGAAATCCCGTTTCCAACGAAGGCCTCAAAGAGGTCCAAATATCCACTTGCAGACTTTACAAAGACAGTGTCTCCAAACTCCTCCATCAAAAGAAAGGTTATACTCTGTGAATTGAACGCACACATCACAAAGTAGTTTCTGAGAATGATTCTGTCTAGTTTTTATACGAAGATATTTCCTTTTCTACATTTGGCCTAAAAGCGCTTGAAATCTCCACCTGCAAATATCACAAAAAGAGGGTTTCACATCTGCTCTGTCTAAAGGACAGTTCACCTCTGTGAGTTGAATAGAGGCAACACAAAGAACTTACTCAGTATTCTTCTTTCTAGCGTTCTATGAAGAAATCCCGTTTCCAACGAAGGCCCCAAAGAGGTCCAAATATCTGCTTGCAGACTTTACAGACAGAGTGTTTCCAAACTACTCTATGAAAAGAAAGCTTAAACTCCTTGAGTTGAACGCACACATCACAAAGTAGTTTCGGAGAATGATTCTGTCTAGTTTTTATACGAAGTATGTTTCCTTTTCTACATTTGGTCTCAAAGCGATTGAAATCTCCAACTGGAAACTGCACAAATAGGGTGTTTCAAATCTGCTCTGTCTAAAGGAAGGTTCAACTCTGTGAGTTGAATACACACAACACAAATAAGTTACTGAGAATTCTTCTGTCGAACATTACAGGAAGAAATCCCGTTTCCAACGAAGGCCTCAAAGAGGTCCAAATATCCACTTGCAGACATTACAAACAGTGTGTTTCCCAACTGCTCCATCAAAAGAAAGGTTAAACTCTGTGAGCTGAACACACACATCAAAAAGAAGTTTCTGTGAATGATTCTGTCTAGATTTTATAAGAAGATGTTTCCTTTTCTACCGTAGGCCTCAAAGCGCTTGAAATCTCCAGCTGCAAATTCCACAAAAAGGGTGTTTAACATCTGCTCTTCTAAAGGAAAGTTCAACTCTATGAGTTGAATACACACAGCACAAAGAAGTTACTGAGACTTCTCCTATCAAACATTATATGAAGAAATCCCGTTTCCAACGAAGGCCTCAAAGAGGTCCAAATATCTGCTTGCGGACTTTACAGACAGAGTGTTTCCAAACTGCTCCATCAAAAGAAAGGTTAAACTCCTTGAGTTGAACACACAGATCACAAAGTAGTTTACTGTGAATGATTCTGTCTAGTTTTTATACGAAGATGTTTCCTTTTCTACCTTTGGTCTCAAAGCGATTGAAATCTCCACATGGAAACTCCACAAAAAGAGTGTTTCAAATCTGCTCTTTCTGAAGGAAGGTTCAACTCTGTGAGTTGAATACACACATCACAAATAAGTTAATGAGAATTCTCCTATCAAACATTATATGAAGAAATCCCGTTTCCAACGAAGGCCTCAAAGAGGTCCAAATATCTGCTTGCAGACTTTACAAAGACAGTGTCTCCAAACTCCTCCATCAAAAGAAAGGTTATACTCTGTGAATTGAACGCACACATCACAAAGTAGTTTCTGAGAATGATTCTGTCTAGTTTTTATACGAAGATATTTCCTTTTCTACATTTGGCCTAAAAGCGCTTGAAGTCTCCACCTGCAAATATCACAAAAAGAGGGTTTCACATCTGCTCTGTCTAAAGGACAGTTCACCTCTGTGAGTTGAGTAGAGGCAACACAAAGAACTTACTCAGTATTCTTCTTTCTAGCGTTCTATGAAGAAATCACGTTTCCAACGAAGGCCCCAATGAGGTCCAAATATCTGCTTGCAGACTTTACAGACAGAGTGTTTCCAAACTACTCTATGAAAAGAAAGCTTAAACTTCTTGAGTTGAACGCACACATCACAAAGTAGTTTCTGAGAATGATTCTGTCTAGTTTTTATACGAAGATGTTTCCTTTTCTACATTTGGTCTCAAAGCGATTGAAATCTCCAACTGGAAACTGCACAAATAGGGTGTTTCAAATCTGCTCTGTCTAAAGGAAGGTTCAACTCTGTGAGTTGAATACACACACCACAAATAAGTTACTGAGAATTCTTCTGTCGAACATTACTTGAAGAAATCCCGTTTCCAACGAAGGCCTCAAAGAGGTCCAAATATCCACTTGCAGACATTACAAACAGAGTGTTTCCAAACTGCTCCATCAAAAGAAAGGTTAAACTCTGTGAGCTGAACCCACACATCAAAAAGAAGTTTCTGTGAATGATTCTGTCTAGATTTTATAAGAAGATGTTTCCTTTTCTACCGTAGGCCTCAAAGCGCTTGAAATCTCCAGCTGCAAATTCCACAAAAAGGGTGTTTAACATCTGCTCTTCTAAAGGAAAGTTCAACTCTATGAGTTGAATACACACAGCACAAAGAAGTTACTGAGACTTCTCCTATCAAACATTATATGAAGAAATCCCGTTTCCAACGAAGGCCCCAAAGAGGTCCAAATATCTGCTTGCAGACTTTACAGACAGAGTTTTTCCAAACAGCTCCATCAAAAGAAAGGTTAAACTCCTTGAGTTGAACACACACATCACAAAGTAGTTTCTGTGAATGATTCTGTCTAGTTTTTATACGAAGATGTTTCCTTTTCTACCTTTGGTCTCAAAGCGATTGAAATCTCCACATGGAAACTCCACAAAAAGAGTGTTTCAAATCTGCTCTTTCTGAAGGAAGGTTCATCTCTGTGAGTTGAATACACACACCACAAATAAGTTACTGAGAATTCTTCTGTGTAACATTATACGAGGAAATCCCGTTTCCAACGAAGGCCTCAAAGAGGTCCAAATATCCACTTGCAGACTTTACAAAGACAGTGTCTCCAAACTCCTCCATCAAAAGAAAGGTTATACTCTGTGAATTGAACGCACACATCACAAAGTAGTTTCTGAGAATGATTCTGTCTAGTTTTTATACGAAGATATTTCCTTTTCTACATTTGGCCTAAAAGCGCTTGAAATCTCCACCTGCAAATATCACAAAAAGAGGTTTTCACATCTGCTCTGTCTAAAAGACAGTTCACCTCTGTGAGTTGAATAGAGGCAACACAAAGAACTTACTCAGTGTTCTTCTTTCTAGCGTTCTATGAAGAAATCCCGTTTCCAACGAAGGCCTCAAAGAGGTCCAAATATCTGCTTGCAGACTTCACAGACAGAGTGTTTCCAAACTACTCTATGAAAAGAAAGCTTAAACTCCTTGAGTGGAACGCATACATCACAAAGTAGTTTCTCAGAATGATTCTGTCTAGTTTTTATACGAAGATGTTTCCTTTTCTACATTTGGTCTCAAAGCGATTGAAATCTCCAACTGGAAACTGCACAAATAGGGTGTTTCAAATCTGCTCTGTCTGAAGGAAGGTTCAACTCTGTGAGTTGAATACACACACCACAAATAAGTTACTGAGAATTCTTCTGTCGAACATTACTTGAAGAAATCCCGTTTCCAACGAAGGCCCCAAAGAGGTCCAAATATCCACTTGCAGATATTACAAACAGAGTGTTTCCAAACTGCTCCATCAAAAGAAAGGTTAAACTCGGTGAGTTGAACACACACATCAAAAAGAAGTTTCTGTGAATTATTCTGTCTAGATTTTATAAGAAGATGTTTCCTTTTCTACCATAGGCCTCAAAGCGCTTGAAATCTCCAGCTGCAAATTCCACAAAAAGGGTGTTTAACATCTGCTCTTCTAAAGGAAAGTTCAACTCTATGAGTTGAATACACACAGCACAAAGAAGTTACTGAGACTTCTCCTATCAAACATTATATGAAGAAATCCCGTTTCCAATGATGGCCCCAAAGAGGTCCAAATATCTGCTTGCAGACTTTACAGACAGAGTGTTTCCAAACTGCTCCATCAAAAGAAAGGTTAAACTCCTTGAGTTGAACACACACATCACAAAGTAGTTTCTGTGAATGATTCTGTCTAGTTTTTATACGAAGATGTTTCCTTTTCTACCTTTGGTCTCAAAGCAATTGAAGTCTCCACATGGAAACTCCACAAAAAGAGTGTTTCAAATCTGCTCTGTCTAAAGGAAGGTTCAACTCTGTGAGTTGAATACACACACCACAAATAAGTTACTGAGAATTCTTCTGTGTAACATTATATGAGGAAATCCCGTTTCCAACGAAGGCCTCAAAGAGGTCCAAATATCCACTTGCAGACTTTACAAAGACAGTGTCTCCAAACTCCTCCATCAAAAGAAAGGTTATACTCTGTGAATTGAACGCACACATCACAAAGTAGTTTCTGAGAATGATTCTGTCTAGTTTTTATACGAAGATATTTCCTTTTCTACATTTGGCCTAAAAGCGCTTGAAATCTCCACCTGCAAATATCACAAAAAGAGGGTTTCACATCTGCTCTGTCTAAAGGACAGTTCACCTCTGTGAGTTGAATAGAGGCAACACAAAGAACTTACTCAGTATTCTTCTTTCTAGCGTTCTATGAAGAAATCCCCTTTCCAACGAAGACCCCAAAGACGTCCAAATATCTGCTTGCAGACTTTACAGACAGAGTTTTTCCAAACTGCTCCATCAAAAGAAAGGTTAAACTCCTTGAGTTGAACACACACGTCACAAAGTAGTTTCTGTGAATGATTCTGTCTAGTTTTTATACGAAGATGTTTCCTTTTCTACATTTGGTCTCAAAGCGATTGAAATCTCCAACTGGAAACTGCACAAATAGGGTGTTTCAAATCTGCTCTGTCTAAAGGGAAGGTTCAACTCTGTGAGTTGAATACACACACCACAAATAAGTTACTGAGAATTCTTCTGTGTAACATTATATGAGGAAATCCCGTTTCCAACGAAGGCCTCAAAGAGGTCCAAATATCCACTTGGAGACATTACAAACAGTGTGTTTCCAAACTGCTCCATCAAAAGAAAGGTTAAACTCTGTGAGCTGAACACACACATCAAAAAGAAGTTTCTGTGAATGATTCTGTCTAGATTTTATAAGAAGATGTTTCCTTTTCTACCGTAGGCCTCAAAGCGCTTGAAATCTCCAGCTGCAAATTCACCAAAAAGGGTGTTTAACATCTGCTCTTCTAAAGCAAAGTTCAACTCTATGAGTTGAATACACACAGCACAAAGAAGTTACTGAGACTTCTCCTATCAAACATTATATGAAGAAATCCCGTTTCCAACGAAGGCCTCAAAGAGGTCCAAATATCTGCTTGCAGACTTTACAGACAGAGTGTTTCCAAACTGCTCCATCAAAAGAAAGGTTAAACTCCTTGAGTTGAACACACACATCACAAAGTAGTTTCTGTGAATGATTCTGTCTAGTTTTTATACGAAGATGTTTCCTTTTCTACCTTTGGTCTCAAAGCGTTTGAAATCTCCACATGGAAACTCCACAAAAAGAGTGTTTCAAATCTGCTCTTTCTGAAGGAAGGTTCATCTCTGTGAGTTGAATACACACACCACAAATAAGTTACTGAGAATTCTTCTGTGTAACATTATATGAGGAAATCCCATTTCCAACGAAGGCCTGCAAGAGGTCCAAATATCCACTTGCAGACTTTACAAAGACAGTGTCTCCAAACTCCTCCATGAAAAGAAAGGTTATACTCTGTGAATTGAACGCACACATCACAAAGTAGTTTCTGAGAATGATTCTGTCTAGTTTTTATACGAAGATATTTCCTTTTCTACATTTGGCCTCAAAGCGCTTGAAATCTCCACCTGCAAATATCACAAAAAGAGGGTTTCACATCTGCTCTGTCTAAAGGACAGTTCACCTCTGTGAGTTGAATAGAGGCAACACAAAGAACTTACTCAGTATTCTTCTTTCTAGCGTTATATGAAGAAATCCCGTTTCCAACGAAGGCCTCAAAGAGGTCCAAATATCTGCTTGCAGACTTTACAGACAGAGTGTTTCCAAACTACTCTATGAAAAGAAAGTTTAACTCCGTGAGTTGAACGCACACATCACAAAGTAGTTTCTGAGAATGATTCTGTCTTGTTTTTATACGAAGATATTTCCGTTTCTACGATTGGCCTCAAAGCGATTGAAATCTCCAACTGGAAACTGCACAAACAGGGTGTTTCAAATCTGCTCTGTCTATAGGAAGGTTCAACTCTGTGAGTTGAATACACACACCACAAATAAGTTACTGAGAATTCTTCTCTCGAACATTACATGAAGAAATCCCGTTTCCAACGAAGGCCTCAAAGAGTTCCAAATATCTACTTGCCGACATGACAAACACAGTGTTTGCAAACTGCTCCGTCAGAAGAAAGGTTAAACTCTGTGAGATGAACACACACATCAAAAAGAAGTTTCTGTGAATGATTCTGTCTAGATTTTATAAGAAGATGTTTCCTGTTCTTCCGTAGGCCTCAAAGCGCTTGAAATCTCCAGCTGCAAATTCCACAAAAAGGGTGTTTAACATCTGCTCTTCTAAAGGAAAGTTCAACTCAATGAGTTGAATACACACAGCACAAAGAAGTTTTTGAGACTTCTCCTATCAAACATTATATGAAGAAATCCCGTTTCCAACGAAGGCCTCAAAGAGGTCCAAATATCTGCTTGCAGACTTTACAGACAGAGTTTTTCCAAACTGCTCCATCAAAAGAAAGGTTAAACTCCTTGAGTTGAACACACACATCACAAAGTAGTTTCTGTGAATGATTCTGTCTAGTTTTTATACGAAGATGTTTCCTTTTCTACCTTTGGTCTCAAAGCGATTGAAATCTCCACATGGAAACTCCACAAAAAGAGTGTTTCAAATCTGCTCTTTCTGAAGGAAGTTTCAACTCTGTGAGTTGAATACACACACCACAAATAAGTTACTGAGAATTCTTCTGTGTAACATTATATGAGGAAATCCCGTTTCCAACGAAGGCCTCAAAGAGGTCCAAATATCCACTTGCAGACTTTACAAAGACAGTGTCTCCAAACTTCTCCATCAAAAGAAAGGTTATACTCTATGAATTGAACGCACACATCACAAAGTAGTTTCTGAGAATGATTCTGTCTAGTTTTTATACGAAGATATTTCCTTTTCTACATTTGGCCTAAAAGCGCTTGAAATCTCCACCTGCAAATATCACAAAAAGAGGGTTTCACATCTGCTCTGTCTAAAGGACAGTTCACCTCTGTGAGTTGAATAGAGGCAACACAAAGAACTTACTCAGTATTCTTCTTTCTAGCGTTCTATGAAGAAATCCCGTTTCCAACGAAGGCCCCAAAGAGGTCCAAATATCTGCTTGCAGACTTTGCAGACAGAGTGTTTCCAAACTACTCTATGAAAAGAAAGCTTAAACTCCTTGAGTTGAACGCACACATCACAAAGTAGTTTCTGAGAATGATTCTGTCTAGTTTTTATACGAAGATGTTTCCTTTTCTACATTTGGTCTCAAAGCGATTGAAATCTCCAACTGGAAACTGCACAAATAGGGTGTTTCAAATCTGCTCTGTCTAAAGGAAGGTTCAACTCTGTGAGTTGAATACACACACCACAAATAAGTTACTGAGAATTCTTCTGTCGAACACTACATGAAGAAATCCCTTTTCCAACAAAGGCCTCAAAGAGGTCCAAATATCCACTTGCAGCCATTACAAACAGTGTGTTTCCAAACTGCTCCATCAAAAGAAAGGTTAAACTCTGTGAGCTGAACACACACATCAAAAAGAAGTTTCTGTGAATGATTCTGTCTAGATTTTATAAGAAGATGTTTCCTTTTCTACCGTAGGCCTCAAAGCGCTTGAAATCTCCGGCTGCAAATTCCACAAAAAGGGTGTTTAACATCTACTCTTCTAAAGGAAAGTTCAACTCTCTGAGTTGAATACACACAGCACAAAGAAGTTACTGAGACTTCTTCTTTCTAGCATTCTATTAAGAAATCCCGTTTCCAACGAAGGCCCCAAAGAGGTGCAAATATCTGCTTGCAGACTTTACAGACAGAGTTTTTCCAAACTGCTCCATCAAAAGAAAGGTTAAACTCCTTGAGTTGAACACACACATCACAAAGTAGTTTCTGTGAATGATTCTGTCTAGTTTTTATACGAAGATGTTTCCTTTTCTACCTTTGGTCTCAAAGCGATTGAAATCTCCACATGGAAACTCCACAAAAAGAGTGTTTCAAATCTGCTCTTTCTGAAGGAAGGTTCAACTCTGTGAGTTGAATACACACACCACAAATAAGTTACTGAGAATTCTCCTATCAAACATCATATGAAGAAATCCCGTTTCCAACGAAGGCCTCAAAGAGGTCCAAATATCTGCTTGCAGACTTTACAAAGACAGTGTCTCCAAACTCCTCCATCAAAAGAAAGGTTATACTCTGTGAATTGAACGCACACATCACAAAGTAGTTTATGAGAATGATTCTGTCTAGTTTTTATACGAAGATATTTCCTTTTCTACATTTGGCCTAAAAGCGCTTGAAATCTCCACCTGCAAATATCACAAAAAGAGGGTTTCACATCTGCTCTGTCTAAAGGACAGTTCACCTCTGTGAGTTGAATAGAGGCAACACAAAGAACTTACTCAGTATTCTTCTTTCTAGCGTTCTATGAAGAAATCCCGTTTCCAACGAAGGCCCCAAAGAGGTCCAAATATCTGCTTGCAGACTTTACAGACAGAGTGTTTCCAAACTACTCTATGAAAAGAAAGCTTAAACTCCCTTGAGTTGAACGCACACATCACAAAGTAGTTTCTGAGAATGATTCTGTCTAGTTTTTATACGAAGATGTTTCCTTTTCTACATTTGGTCTCAAAGCGATTGAAATCTCCAACTGGAAACTGCACAAATAGGGTGTTTCAAATCTGCTCTGTCTAAAGGAAGGTTCAACTCTGTGAGTTGAATACACACAACACAAATAAGTTACTGAGAAATCTTCTGTCGAACATTACATGAAGAAATCCCGTTCCAAACGAAGGCCTCAAAGAGGTCCAAATATCCACTTGCAGACATTACAAACAGAGTGTTTCCAAACTGCTCCATCAAAAGAAAGGTTAAACTCTGTGAGCTGAACACACACATCAAAAAGAAGTTTCTGTGAATGATTCTGTCTAGATTTTATAAGAAGATGTTTCTTTTTCTACCGTAGGCCTCAAAGCGCTTGAAATCTCCAGCTGCAAATTCCACAAAAAGGGTGTTTAACATCTGCTCTTCTAAAGGAAAGTTCAACTCTTTGAGTTGAATACACACAGCACAAAGAAGTTACTGAGACTTCTCCTATCAAACATTATATGAAGAAATCCCGTTTCCAACGAAGGCCTCAAAGAGGTCCAAATATCTGCTTGCAGACTTTACAGACAGAGTGTTTCCAAACTGCTCCATCAAAAGAAAGGTTAAACTCCTTGAGTTGAACACACACATCACAAAGTAGTTTCTGTGAATGATTCTGTCTAGTTTTTATACGAAGATGTTTCCTTTTCTACCTTTGGTCTCAAAGCGATTGAAATCTCCACATGGAAACTCCACAAAAAGAGTGTTTCAAATCTGCTCTTTCTGAAGGAAGGTTCAACTCTGTGAGTTGAATACACACACCACAAATAAGTTACTGAGAATTCTTCTGTGTAACATTATATGAGGAAATCCCGTTTCCAACGAAGGCCTCAAAGAGATCCAAATATCCACTTGCAGACTTTACAAAGACAGTGTCTCCAAACTCCTCCATCAAAAGAAAGGTTATACTCTGTGAATTGAACGCACACATCACAAAGTAGTTTCTGAGAATGATTCTGTCTAGTTTTTATACGAAGATATTTCCTTTTCTACATTTGGCCTAAAAGCGCTTGAAATCTCCACCTGCAAATATCACAAAAAGAGGGTTTCACATCTGCTCTGTCTAAAGGACAGTTCACCTCTGTGAGTTGAATAGAGGCAACACAAAGAACTTACTCAGTATTCTTCTTTCTAGCGTTCTATGAAGAAATCCCGTTTCCAACGAAGGTCCCAAAGAGGTCCAAATATCTGCTTGCAGACTTTACAGACAGAGTGTTTCCAAAGTACTCTATGAAAAGAAAGCTTAAACTCCTTGAGTTGAACGCACACATCACAAAGTAGTTTCTGAGAATGATTCTGTCTAGTTTTTATACGAAGATGTTTCCTTTTCTACATTTGGTCTCAAAGCGATTGAAATCTCCAACTGGAAACTGCACAAATAGGGTGTTTCAAATCTGCTCTGTCTAAAGGAAGGTTCAACTCTGTGAGTTGAATACACACACCACAAATAAGTTACTGAGAATTCTTCTGTCGAACATTACTTGAAGAAATCCCGTTTCCAACGAAGGCCTCAAAGGAGGTCCAAATATCCACTTGCAGACATTACAAACAGAGTGTTTCCAAACTGCTCCATCAAAAGAAAGGTTAAACTCTGTGAGCTGAACACACACATCAAAAAGAAGTTTCTGTGAATGATTCTGTCTAGATTTTATAAGAAGATGTTTCCTTTTCTACCGTAGGCCTCAAAGCGCTTGAAATCTCCAGCTGCAAATTCCACTAAAAGGGTGTTTAACATCTGCTCTTCTAAAGGAAAGTTCAACTCTATGAGTTGAATACACACAGCACAAAGAAGTTACTGAGACTTCTCCTATCAAACATTATATGATGAAATCCCGTTTCCAACGAAGGCCTCAAAGAGGTCCAAATATCTGCTTGCAGACTTTACAGACAGAGTGTTTCCAAACTGCTCCATCAAAAGAAAGGTTAAACTCCTTGAGTAGAACACACACATCACAAAGTAGTTTCTGTGAATGATTCTGTCTAGTTTTTATAAGAAGATGTTTCCTTTTCTACCTTTGGTCTCAAAGCGATTGAAATCTCCACATGGAAACTCCACAAAAAGAGTGTTTCAAATCTGCTCTTTCTGAAGGAAGGTTCAACTCTGTGAGTTGAATACACACACCACAAATAAGTTACTGAGAATTCTTCTGTGTAACATTATATGAGGAAATCCCGTTTCCAACGAAGGCCTCAAAGAGATCCAAATATCCACTTGCAGACTTTACAAAGACAGTGTCTCCAAACTCCTCCATCAAAAGAAAGGTTATACTCTGTGAATTGAACGCACACATCACAAAGTAGTTTCTGAGAATGATTCTGTCTAGTTTTTATACGAAGATATTTCCTTTTCTACATTTGGCCTAAAAGCGCTTGAAATCTCCACCTGCAAATATCACAAAAAGAGGGTTTCACATCTGCTCTGTCTAAAGGACAGTTCACCTCTGTGAGTTGAATAGAGGCAACACAAAGAACTTACTCAGTATTCTTCTTTCTAGCGTTCTATGAAGAAATCCCGTTTCCAACGAAGGCCTCAAAGAGGTCCAAATATCTGCTTGCAGACTTTACAGACAGAGTGTTTTTAAACTGCTCCATCAAAAGAAAGGTTAAACTCCTTGAGTTGAACACACACATCACAAAGTAGTTTCTGTGAATGATTCTGTCTAGTTTTTATACGAAGATGTTTCCTTTTCTACCTTTGGTCTCAAAGCGATTGAAATCTCCACATGGAAACTCCACAAAAAGAGTGTTTCAAATCTGCTCTTTCTTAAGGAAGGTTCAACTCTGTGAGTTGAATACACACACCACAAATAAGTTACTGAGAATTCTTCTGTGTAACATTATATGAGGAAATCCCGTTTCCAAAGAAGGCCTCAAAGAGGTCCAAATATCCACTTGCAGACTTTACAAAGACAGTGTCTCCAAACTCCTCCATCAAAAGAAAGGTTATACTCTGTGAATTGAACGCACACATCACAAAGTAGTTTCTGAGAATGATTCTGTCTAGTTTTTATACGAAGATATTTCCTTTTCTACATTTGGCCTAAAAGCGCTTGAAATCTCCACCTGCAAATATCACAAAAAGAGGGTTTCACATCTGCTCTGTCTAAAGGACAGTTCACCTCTGTGAGTTGAATAGAGGCAACACAAAGAACTTACTCAGTATTCTTCTTTCTAGCGTTGTATGAAGAAATCCCGTTTCCAACGAAGGCCCCAAAGAGGTCCAAATATCTGCTTGCAGACTTTACAGACAGAGTGTTTCCAAACTACTCTATGAAAAGAAAGCTTAAACTCCTTGAGTTGAATGCACACATCACAAAGTAGTTTCTGAGAATGATTCTGTCTAGTTTTTATACGAAGATGTTTCCTTTTCTACATTTGGTCTCAAAGCGATTGAAATCTCCAACTGGAAACTGCACAAATAGGGTGTTTCAAATCTGCTCTGTCTAAAGGAAGGTTCAACTCTGTGAGTTGAATACACACACCACAAATAAGTTACTGAGAATTCTTCTGTCGAACATTACTTGAAGAATCCCGTTTCCAATGAAGGCCTCAAAGAGGTCCAAATATCCACTTGCAGACATTACAAACAGAGTGTTTCCAAACTGCTCCATCAAAAGAAAGGTTAAACACTGTGAGCTGAACACACACATCAAAAAGAAGTTTCTGTGAATGATTCTGTCTAGATTTTATAAGAAGATGTTTCCTTTTCTACCGTAGGACTCAAAGCGCTTGAAATCTCCAGCTGCAAATTCCACAAAAAGGGTTTTTAACATCTGTTCTTCTAAAGGAAAGTTCAACTCTATGAGTTGAATACACACAGCACAAAGAAGTTACTGAGACTTCTCCTATCAAACATTATATGAAGAAATCCCATTTCCAACGAAGGCCTCAAAGAGGTCCAAATATCTGCTTGCAGACTTTACAGACAGAGTGTTTCCAAACTGCTCCATCAAAAGAAAGGTTAAACTCCTTGAGTTGAACACACACATCACAAAGTAGTTTCTGTGAATGATTCTGTCTAGTTTTTATACAAAGATGTTTCCTTTTCTACCTTTGGTCTCAAAGCGATTGAAATCTCCACATGGAAACTCCACAAAAAGAGTGTTTCAAATCTGCTCTTTCTGAAGGAAGGTTCAACTCTGTGAGTTGAATACACACACCACAAATAAGTTACTGAGAATTCTTCTGTGTAACATTATATGAGGAAATCCCGTTTCCAACGAAGGCCACAAAGAGGTCCAAATATCCACTTGCAGACTTTACAAAGACAGTGTCTCCAAACTCCTCCATCAAAAGAAAGGTTATACTCTGTGAATTGAACGCACACATCACAAAGTAGTTTCTGAGAATGATTCTGTCTAGTTTTTATACGAAGATATTTCCTTTTCTACATTTGGCCTAAAAGCGCTTGAAATCTCCACCTGCAAATATCACAAAAAGAGGGTTTCACATCTGCTCTGTCTAAAGGACAGTTCACCTCTGTGAGTTGAATAGAGGCAACACAAAGAACTTACTCAGTATTCTTCTTTCTAGCGTTCTATGAAGAAATCCCGTTTCCAACGAAGGCCTCAAAGAGGTCAAATATCTGCTTGCAGACTTTACAGACAGAGTGTTTCCAAACTACTCTATGAAAAGAAAGCTTAAACTCCTTGAGTTGAACGCACACATCACAAAGTAGTTTCTGAGAATGATTCTGTCTAGTTTTTATACGAAGATGTTTCCTTTTCTACATTTGGTCTCAAAGCGATTGAAATCTCCAACTGGAAACTGCACAAATAGGGTGTTTCAAATCTGCTCTGTCTAAAGGAAGGTTCAACTCTGTGAGTTGAATACACACACCACAAATAAGTTACTGAGAATTCTTCTGTCGAACATTACTTGAAGAAATCCCGTTTCCAACGAAGGCCTCAAAGAGGTCCAAATATCCACTTGCAGACATTACAAACAGAGTGTTTCCAAACTGCTCCATCAAAAGAAAGGTTAAACTCTGTGAGCTGAACACACACATCGAAAAGAAGTTTCTGTGAATGATTCTGTCTAGATTTTATAAGAAGATGTTTCCTTTTCTACCGTAGGCCTCAAAGCGCTTGAAATCTCCGGCTGCAAATTCCACAAAAAGGGTGTTTAACATGTGCTCTTCTAAAGGAAAGTTCAACTCTATGAGTTGAATACACACAGCACAAAGAAGTTACTGAGACTTCTCCTATCAAACATTATATGAAGAAATCCCGTTTACAACGAAGGCCTCAAAGAGGTCCAAATATCCACTTGCAGACGTGAAAAACAGAGTGTTTCCAAACTGCTCCATCAAAACAAAGGTTAAACTCTGTGAGTTGAACACACACATCTCAAAGTACTTTCTGTGAATGATTCTGTCTAGTTTTTATACGAAGATGTTTCCTTTTCTACCTTTGGTCTCAAAGCGATTGAAATCTCCACATGGAAACTCCACAAAAAGAGTGTTTCAAATCTGCTCTTTCTGAAGGAAGGTTCAACTCTGTGAGTTGAATACACACACCACAAATAAGTTACTGAGAATTCTTCTGTGTAACATTATATGAGGAAATCCCGTTTCCAACGAAGACCTCAAAGAGGTCCAAATATCCACACGCAGACTTTACAAAGACAGTGTCTCCAAACTCCTCCATCAAAAGAAAGGTTATACTCTGTGAATTGTACGCACACATCACAAAGTAGTTTCTGAGAATGATTCTGTCTAGTTTTTATACGAAGATATTTCCTTTTCTACATTTGGCCTAAAAGCGCTTGAAATCTCCACCTGCAAATATCACAAAAAGAGGGTTTCACATCTGCTCTGTCTAAAGGACAGTTCACCTCTGTGAGTTGAATAGAGGCAACACAAAGAACTTACTCAGTATTCTTCTTTCTAGCGTTCTATGAAGAAATCCCGTTTCCAACGAAGGCCTCAAAGAGGTCAAATATCTGCTTGCAGACTTTACAGACAGAGTGTTTCCAAACTACTCTATGAAAAGAAAGCTTAAACTCCTTGAGTTGAACGCACACATCACAAAGTAGTTTCTGAGAATGATTCTGTCTAGTTTTTATACGAAGATGTTTCCTTTTCTACATTTGGTCTCAAAGCGATTGAAATCTCCAACTGGAAACTGCACAAATAGGGTGTTTCAAATCTGCTCTGTCTAAAGGAAGGTTCAACTCTGTGAGTTGAATACACACACCACAAATAAGTTACTGAGAATTCTTCTGTCTAACATTGTATGAAGAAATCCCGTTTCCAACGAAGGCCACAAAGAGGACCAAATATCCACTTGCAGACGTGACAAACAGAGTGTTTCCAAACTGCTCCATCAAAAGAAAGTTTAAACTGTGTGAGTTGAACAGACACATCACAAAGTAGTTTCTGTGAATGATTCTGTCTAGATTTTATAAGAAGATGTTTCCTTTTCTACCGTAGGCCTCAAAGCGCTTGAAATCTCCAGCTGCAAATTCCACAAAAAGGGTGTTTAACATCTGCTCTTCTAAAGGAAAGTTCAACTCTATGAGTTGAATACACACAGCACAAAGAAGTTACTGAGACTTCTCCTATCAAACATTATATGAAGAAATCCCGTTTCCAACGAAGGCCTCAAAGAGGTCCAAATATCTGCTTGCAGACTTTACAGACAGAGTGTTTCCAAACTCCTCCACCAAAAGAAAGGTTAAACTCCTTGAGTTGAACACACACATCACAAAGTAGTTTCTGTGAATGATTCTGTCTAGTTTTTATACGAAGATGTTTCCTTTTCTACCTTTGGTCTCAATGCGATTGAAATCTCCACATGGAAACTCCACAAAAAGAGTGTTTCAAATCTGCTCTTTCTGAAGGAAGGTTCAACTCTGTGAGTTGAATACACACACCACAAATAAGTTACTGAGAATTCTTCTGTGTAACATTATATGAGGAAATCCCGTTTCAAACGAAGGCCTCAAAGAGATCCAAATATCCACTTGCAGACTTTACAAAGACAGTGTCTCCAAACTCCTCCATCAAAAGAAAGGTTATACTCTGTGAATTGAACGCACACATCACAAAGTAGTTTCTGAGAATGATTCTGTCTGGTTTTTATACGAAGATATTTCCTTTTCTACAATTGGCCTGAAAGTGCTTGAAATCTCCACCTGCAAATATCACAAAAAGAGGGTTTCACATCTGCTCTGTCTAAAGGACAGTTCACCTCTGTGAGTTGAATAGAGGCAACACAAAGAACTTACTCAGTATTCTTCTTTCTAGCGTTACATGAAGAAATCCCGTTTCCAACGAAGGCCTCAAAGAGGCCCAAATACCTGCTTGCAGACTTTACAGACAGAGTGTTTCCAAACTACTCTATGAAAAGAAAGCTTAAACTCCTTGAGTTGAACGCACACATCACAAAGTAGTTTCTGAGAATGATTCTGTCTTGTTTTTATACAAGGTTATTTCCGTTTCTATCATTGGCCTCAAAGCGATTGAAATCTCCAACTGGAAACTGCACAAATAGGGTGTTTCAAATCTGCTCTGTCTAAAGGAAGGTTCAACTCTGTGAGTTGAATACACACACCACAAATAAGTTACTGAGAATTCTTCTGTCGAACATTACATGAAGAAATCCCGTTTCCAACGAAGGCCTCAAAGAGGTCCAAATATCCACTTGCAGACATTACAAACAGTGTGTTTCCAAACTGCTCCATCAAAAGAAAGGTTAAACTCTGTGAGCTGAACACACATCAAAAAGAAGTTTCTGTGAATGATTCTGTCTAGATTTTATAAGAAGATGTTTCCTTTTCTACCGTAGGCCACAAAGCGCTTGAAATCTCCAGCTGCAAATTCCACAAAAAGGGTGTTTAACATCTGCTCTTCTAAAGGAAAGTTCAACTGTATGAGTTGAATACACACAGCACAAAGAAGTTACTGAGACTTCTCCTATCAAACATTATATGAAGAAATCCCGTTTCCAACGAAGGCCTCAAAGAGGTCCAAATATCTGCTTGCAGACTTTACAGACAGAGTGTTTCCAAACTGCTCCATCAAAAGAAACGTTAAATTCCTTGAGTTGAACACACACATCACAAAGTAGTTTCTGTGAATGATTCTGTCTAGTTTTTATACGAAGATGTTTCCTTTTCTACCTTTGGTCTCAATGCGATTGAAATCTCCACATGGAAACTCCACAAAAAGAGTGTTTCAAATCTGCTCTTTCTGAAGGAAGGTTCAACTCTGTGAGTTGAATACACACACCACTAATAAGTTACTGAGAATTCTTCTGTGTAACATTATATGAGGAAATCCCGTTTCCAACGAAGGCCTCAAAGAGGTCCAAATATCCACTTGCAGACTTACAAAGACAGTGTCTCCAAACTCCACCATCAAAAGAAAGGTTATACTCTGTGAATTGAACGCACACATCACAAAGTAGTTTCTGAGAATGATTCTGTCTAGTTTTTATACGAAGATATTTCCTTTTCTACATTTGGCCTAAAAGCGCTTGAAATCTCCACCTGCAAATATCACAAAAAGAGGGTTTCACATCTGCTCTGTCTAAAGGACAGTTCACCTCTGTGAGTTGAATAGAGGCAACACAAAGAACTTACTCAGTATTCTTCTTTCTAGCGTTCTATGAAGAAATCCCGTTTCCAACGAAGGCCTCAAAGAGGTCCAAATATCTGCTTGCAGACTTCACAGACAGAGTGTTTCCAAACTACTCTATGAAAAGAAAGCTTAAACTCCTTGAGTGGAACGCATACATCACAAAGTAGTTTACTCAGAATGATTTCTGTCTAGTTTTTATACGAAGGATGTTTCCTTTTCTACATTTGGTCTCAAAGCGATTGAAATCTCCAACTGGAAACTGCACAAATAGGGTGTTTCAAATCTGCTCTGTCTAAAGGAAGGTTCAACTCTGTGAGTTGAATACACACATCACAAATAAGTTACTGAGAATTCTTCTGTCGAACATTACAGGAAGAAATCCCGTTTCCAACGAAGGCCTCAAAGAGGTCCAAATATCCACTTGCAGACATTACAAACAGTGTGTTTCCCAACTGCTCCATCAAAAGAAAGGTTAAACTCTGTGAGCTGAACACACACATCAAAAAGAAGTTTCTGTGAATGATTCTGTCTAGATTTTATAAGAAGATGTTTCCTTTTCTACCGTAGGCCTCAAAGCGCTTGAAATCTCCAGCTGCAAATTCCACAAAAAGGGTGTTTAACATCTGCTCTTCTAAAGGAAAGTTCAACTCTATGAGTTGAATACACACAGCACAAAGAAGTTACTGAGACTTCTCCTATCAAACATTATATGAAGAAATCCCGTTTCCAACGAAGGCCTCAAAGAGGTCCAAATATCTGCTTGCAGACTTTACAGACAGAGTGTTTCCAAACTGCTCCATCAAAAGAAAGGTTAAACTCCTTGAGTTGAACACACACATCACAAAGTAGTTTCTGTGAATGATTCTGTCTAGTTGTTATACGAAGATGTTTCCTTTTCTACCTTTGGTCTCAAAGCGATTGAAATCTCCACATGGAAACTCCACAAAAAGAGTGTTTCAAATCTGCTCTTTCTGAAGGAAGGTTCATCTCTGTGAGTTGAATACACACACCACAAATAAGTTAGTGAGAATTCTTCTGTGTAACATTATATGAGGAAATCCCGTTTCCAACGAAGGCCTCAAAGAGATCCAAATATCCACTTGCAGACATTACAAAGACAGTGTCTCCAAACTCCTCCATCAAAAGAAAGGTTATACTCTGTGAATTGAACGCACACATCACAAAGTAGTTTCTGAGAATGATTCTGTCTAGTTTTTATATGAAGATATTTCCTTTTCTACATTTGGCCTAAAAGCGCTTGAAATCTCCACCTGCAAATATCACAAAAACAGGGTTTCACATCTGCTCTGTCTAAAGGACAGTTCACCTCTGTGAGTTGAATAGAGGCAACACAAAGAACTTACTCAGTATTCTTCTTTCTAGCGTTCTATGAAGAAATCCCGTTTCCAACGAAGGCCTCAAAGAGGTCCAAATATCTGCTTGCAGACTTTACAGACAGAGTGTTTCCAAACTACTCTATGAAAAGAAAGCTTAAACTCCTTGAGTTGAACGCACACATCACAAAGTAGTTTCTGAGAATGATTCTGTCTAGTTTTTATACGAAGATGTTTCCTTTTCTACATTTGGTCTCAAAGCTCTTGAAATCTCCAACTGGAAACTGCACAAATAGGCTGTTTCAAATCTGCTCTGTCTAAAGGAAGGTTCAACTCTGTGAGTTGAATACACACACCACAAATAAGTTACTGAGAATTCTTCTGTCGAACATTACAGGAAGAAATCCCGTTTCCAACGAAGGCCTCAAAGAGGTCCAAATATCCACTTGCAGACATTACAAACAGAGTGTTTCCAAACTGCTCCATCAAAAGAAAGGTTAAACTCTGTGAGCTGAACACACACATCAAAAAGAAGTTTCTGTGAATGATTCTGTCTAGATTTTATAAGAAGATGTTTCCTTTTCTACCGTAGGCCTCAAAGCGCTTGAAATCTCCAGCTGCAAATTCCACAAAAAGGGTGTTTAACATCTGCTCTTCTAAAGGAAAGTTCAACTCTATGAGTTGAATACACACAGCACAAAGAAGTTACTGAGACTTCTCCTATCAAACATTATATGAAGAAATCCCGTTTCCAACGAAGGCCTCAAAGAGGTCCAAATATCCACTTGCAGACATTACAAACAGAGTGTTTCCAAACTGCTCCATCAAAAGAAAGGTTAAACTCTGTGAGCTGAACACACACATCAAAAAGAAGTTTCTGTGAATGATTCTGTCTAGATTTTGTAAGAAGATGTTTCCTTTTCTACCGTAGGCCTCAAAGCGCTTGAAATCTCCAGCTGCAAATTCCACAAAAAGGGTGTTTAACATCTGCTCTTCTAAAGGAAAGTTCAACTCTATGAGTTGAATACACACAGCACAAAGAAGTTACTGAGACTTCTCCTATTAAACATTATATGAAGAAATCCCGTTTCTAACGATGGCCTGAAAGAGGTCCAAATATCTGCTTGCAGACTTTACAAAGACAGTGTCTCCAAACTCCTCCATCAAAAGAAAGGTTATACTCTGTGAATTGAACGCACACATCACAAAGTAGTTTCTGTGAATGATTCTGTCTAGTTTTTATACGAAGATGTTTCCTTTTCTACCTTTGGTCTCAAAGCGATTGAAATCTCCACATGGAAACTCCACAAAAAGAGTGTTTCAAATCTGCTCTTTCTGAAGGAAGGTTCAACTCTGTGAGTTGAATACACACACCACAAATAAGTTACTGAGAATTCTTCTGTGTAACATTATATGAGGAAATCCCGTTTCCAACGAAGGCCTCAAAGAGGTCCAAATATCCACTTGCAGACTTACAAAGACAGTGTCTCCAAACTCCTCCATCAAAAGAAAGGTTATACTCTGTGAATTGAACGCACACATCACAAAGTAGTTTCTGAGAATGATTCTGTCTAGTTTTTATACGAAGATATTTCCTTTTCTACATTTGGCCTGAAAGCGCTTGAAATCTCCACGTGCAAATATCACAAAAACAGGGTTTCACATCTGCTCTGTCTAAAGGACAGTTCACCTCTGTGAGTTGAATAGAGGCAACACAAAGAACTTACTCAGTATTCTTCTTTCTAGCGCTCTATGAAGAAATCCCGTTTCCAACGAAGGCCTCAAAGAGGTCCAAATATCTGCTTGCAGACTTTACAGACAGAGTGTTTCCAAACTACTCTATGAAAAGAAAGCTTAAACTCCTTGAGTTGAACGCACACATCACAAAGTAGTTTCTGAGAATGATTCTGTCTAGTTTTTATACGAAGATGTTTCCTTTTCTACATTTGGTCTCAAAGCGATTGAAATCTCCAACTGGAAACTGCACAAATAGGGTGTTTCAAATCTGCTCTGTCTAAAGGAAGGTTCAACTCTGTGAGTTGAATACACACACCACAAATAAGTTACTGAGAATTCTTCTGTCGAACATTACTTGAAGAAATCCCGTTTCCAACGAAGGCCTCAAAGAGGTCCAAATATCCACTTGCAGACATTACAAACAGAGTGTTTCCAAACTGCTCCATCAAAAGAAAGGTTAAACTCTGTGAGCTGAACACACACATCGAAAAGAAGTTTCTGTGAATGATTCTGTCTAGATTTTATAAGAAGATGTTTCCTTTTCTACCGTAAGCCTCAAAGCGCTTGAAATCTCCAGCTGCAAATTCCACAAAAAGGGTGTTTAACATCTGCTCTTCTAAAGGAAAGTTCAACTCTATGAGTTGAATACACACAGCACAAAGAAGTTACTGAGACTTCTTCTTTCTAGCATTCTATGAATAAATCCCGTTTCCAACGAAGGCCTCAAAGAGGTCCAAATATCTGCTTGCAGACTTTACAGACAGAGTTTTTCCAAACTGCTCCATCAAAAGAAAGGTTAAACTCCTTGAGTTGAACACACACATCACAAAGTAGTTTCTGTGAATGATTCTGTCTAGTTTTTATACGAAGATGTTTCCTTTTCTACCTTTGGTCTCAATGCGATTGAAATCTCCACATGGAAACTCCACAAAAAGAGTGTTTCAAATCTGCTCTTTCTGAAGGAAGGTTCATCTCTGTGAGTTGAATACACACACCACAAATAAGTTACTGAGAATTCTTCTGTGTAACATTATATGAGGAAATCCCGTTTCCAACGAAGGCCTCAAAGAGATCCAAATATCCACTTGCAGACTTTACAAACACAGTGTCTCCAAACTCCTCCATCAAAAGAAAGGTTATACTCTGTGAATTGAACGCACACATCACAAAGTAGTTTCTGAGAATGATTCTGTCTAGTTTTTATACGAAGATATTTCCTTTTCTACATTTGGCCTAAAAGCGCTTGAAATCTCCACCTGCAAATATCACAAAAAGAGGGTTTCACATCTGCTCTGTCTAAAGGACAGTTCACCTCTGTGAGTTGAATAGAGGCAACACAAAGAACTTACTCAGTATTCTTCTTTCTAGCGTTCTATGAAGAAATCCTGTTTCCAATGAAGACCCCAATGAGGTCCAAATATCTGCTTGCAGACTTTACAGACAGAGTGTTTCCAAACTACTCTATGAAAAGAAAGCTTAAACTCCTTGAGTTGAACGCACACATCACCAAGTAGTTTCTGAGAATGATTCTGTCTTGTTTTTTTACGAAGATATTTCCGTTTCTACGATTGGCCTCAAAGCGATTGAAATCTCCAACTGGAAACTGCACAAATAGGGTGTTTCAAATCTGCTCTGTCTAAAGGAAGGTTCAACTCTGTGAGTTGAATACACACACCACAAATAAGTTACTGAGAATTCTTCTGTCGAACATTACTTGAAGAAATCCCGTTTCCAACGAAGGCCTCAAAGAGGTCCAAATATCCACTTGCAGACATTACAAACAGAGTGTTTCCAAACTGCTCCATCAAAAGAAAGGTTAAACTCTGTGAGCTGAACCCACACATCAAAAAGAAGTTTCTGTGAATGATTCTGTCTAGATTTTATAAGAAGATGTTTCCTTTTCTACCGTAGGCCTCAAAGCGCTTGAAATCTCCAGCTGCAAATTCCACAAAAAGGGTGTTTAACATCTGCTCTTCTAAAGGAAAGTTCAACTCTATGAGTTGAATACACACAGCACAAAGAAGTTACTGAGACTTCTCCTATCAAACATTATATGAAGAAATCCCGTTTCCAACGAAGGCCTCAAAGAGGTCCAAATATCTGCTTGCAGACTTTACAGACAGAGTGTTTCCAAACTGCTCCATCAAAAGAAAGGTTAAACTCCTTGAGTTGAACACACACATCACAAAGTAGTTTCTGTGAATGATTCTGTCTACTTTTTATACGAAGATGTTTCCTTTTCTACCTTTGGTCTCAAAGCCATTGAAATCTCCACATGGAAACTCCACAAAAAGAGTGTTTCAAATCTGCTCTTTCTGAAGGAAGGTTCAACTCTGTGAGTTGAATACACACACCACAAATATGTTACTGAGAATTCTTCTGTGTAACATTATATGAGGAAATCCCGTTTCCAACGAAGGCCTCAAAGAGGTCCAAATATCCACTTGCAGACTTTACAAAGACAGTGTCTCTAAACTCCTCCATCAAAAGAAAGGTTATACTCTGTGAATTGAACGCACACATCACAAAGTAGTTTCTGAGAATGATTCTGTCTAGTTTTTATACGAAGATATTTCCTTTTCTACATTTGGCCTAAAAGCGCTTGAAATCTCCACCTGCAAATATCACAAAAAGAGGGTTTCACATCTGCTCTGTCTAAAGGACAGTTCACCTCTGTGAGTTGAATAGAGGCAACACAAAGAACTTACTCAGTATTCTTCTTTCTAGCGTTCTATGAAGAAATCCCGTTTCCAACGAAGGCCCCAAAGAGGTCCAAATATCTGCTTGCAGTCTTTACAGACAGAGTGTTTCCAAACTACTCTATGAAAAGAAAGCTTAAACTCCTTGAGTTGAACGCACACATCACAAAGTAGTTTCTGAGAATGATTCTGTCTAGTTTTTATACGAAGATGTTTCCTTTTCTACATTTGGTCTCAAAGCGATTGAAATCTCCAACTGGAAACTGCACAAATAGGGTGTTTCAAATCTGCTCTGTCTAAAGGAAGGTTCAACTCTGTGAGTTGAATACACACACCACAAATAAGTTACTGAGAATTCTTCTGTCGAACATTACATGAAGAAATCCCGTTTCCAACGAAGGCCTCAAAGAGGTTCAAATATCCACTTGCAGACATTACAAACAGTGTGTTTCCAAACTGCTCCATCAAAAGAAAGGTTAAACTCTGTGAGCTGAACACACACATCAAAAAGAAGATTCTGTGAATGATTCTGTCTAGATTTTATAAGAAGATGTTTCCTTTTCTAACGTAGGCCTCAAAGCGTTTGAAATCTCCAGCTGCAAATTCCACAAAAAGGGTGCTTAACATCTGCTCTTCTAAAGGAAAGTTCAACTCTATGAGTTGAATACACACAGCACAAAGAAGTTACTGAGACTTCTCCTATCAAACATTATATGAAGAAATCCCGTTTCCAACGAAGGCCTCAAAGAGGTCCAAATATCTGCTTGCAGACTTTACAGACAGAGTTTTTCCAAACTGCTCCATCAAAAGAAAGGTTAAATTCCTTGAGTTGAACACACACATCACAAAGTAGTTTCTGTGAATGATTCTGTCTAGTTGTTATACGAAGATGTTTCCTTTTCTACCTTTGGTCTCAAATCGATTGAAATCTCCACATGGAAACTCCACAAAAAGAGTGTTTCAAATCTGCTCTTTCTGAAGGAAGGTTCATCTCTGTGAGTTGAATACACACACCACAAATAAGTTACTGAGAATTACTCTGTGTAACATTATATGAGGAAATCCCGTTTCCAACGAAGGCCTCAAAGAGGTCCAAATATCCACTTGCAGACTTTACAAAGACAGTGTCTCCAAACTCCTCCATCAAAAGAAAGGTTATACTCTGTGAATTGAACGGACACATCACAAAGTAGTTTCTGAGAATGATTCTGTCTAGTTTTTATACGAAGATATTTCCTTTTCTACATTTGGCCTAAAAGCGCTTGAAATCTCCACCTGCAAATATCACAAAAAGAGGGTTTCACATCTGCTCTGTCTAAAGGACAGTTCACCTCTGTGAGTTGAATAGAGGCAACACAAAGAACTTACTGAGTATTCTTCTTTCTAGCGTTCTATGAAGAAATCCCGTTTCCAACAAAGGCCCCAAAGAGGTCCAAATATCTGCTTGCAGACTTTACAGACAGAGTGTTTCCAAACTACTCTATGAAAAGAAAGCTTAAACTCCTTGAGTTGAATGCACACATCACAAAGTAGTTTCTGAGAATGATTCTGTCTAGTTTTTATACGAAGATGTTTCCTTTTCTACATTTGGTCTCAAAGCGATTGAAATCTCCAACTGGAAACTGCACAAATAGGCTGTTTCAAATCTGCTCTGTCTAAAGGAAGGTTCAGCTCTGTGAGTTGAATACACACACCACAAATAAGTTACTGAGAATTCTTCTGTCGAACATTACAGGAAGAAATCCCGTTTCCAACGAAGGCCTCAAAGAGGTCCAAATATCCACTTGCAGACATTACAAACAGTGTGTTTCCCAACTGCTCCATCAAAAGAAAGGTTAAACTCTGTGAGCTGAACACACACATCAAAAAGAAGTTTCTGTGAATGATTCTGTCTAGATATTATAAGAAGATGTTTCCTTTTCTACCGTAGGCCTCAAAGCGCTTGAAATCTCCAGCTGCAAATTCCACAAAAAGGGTGTTTAACATCTGCTCTTCTAAAGGAAAGTTCAACTCTATGAGTTGAATACACACAGCACAAAGAAGTTACTGAGACTTCTCCTATCAAACATTATATGAAGAAATCCCGTTTCCAACGAAGGCCTCAAAGAGGTCCAAATATCTGCTTGCAGACTTTACAGACAGAGTGTTTCCAAACTGCTCCATCAAAAGAAAGGTTAAACTCCTTGAGTTGAACACACACATCACAAAGTAGTTTCTGTGAATGATTCTGTCTAGTTTTTATACGAAGATGTTTCCTTTTCTACCTTTGGTCTCAAAGCGATTGAAATCTCCACATGGAAACTCCACAAAAAGAGTGTTTCAAATCTGCTCTTTCTGAAGGAAGGTTCAACTCTGTGAGTTGAATACACACACCACAAATAAGTTACTGAGAATTCTTCTGGGTAACATTATATGAGGAAATCCCGTTTCCAACGAAGGCCTCAAAGAGGTCCAAATATCCACTTGCAGACTTTACAAAGACAGTGTCTCCAAACTCCTCCATCAAAAGAAAGGTTATACTCTGTGAATTGAACGCACACATCACAAAGTAGTTTCTGAGAATGATTCTGTCTAGTTTTTATACGAAGATATTTCCTTTTCTACATTTGGCCTAAAAGCGCTTGAAATCTCCACCTGCAAATATCACAAAAAGAGGGTTTCACATCTGCTCTGTCTAAAGGACAGTTCACCTCTGTGAGTTGAATAGAGGCAACACAAAGAACTTACTCAGTATTCTTCTTTCTAGCGTTCTATGAAGAAATCCCGTTTCCAACGAAGGCCCCAAAGAGGTCCAAATATCTGCTTGCAGACTTTACAGACAGAGTGTTTCCAAACTACTCTATGAAAAGAAAGCTTAAACTCCTTGAGTTGAACGCACACATCACAAAGTAGTTTCTGAGAATGATTCTGTCTAGTTTTTATACGAAGATGTTTCCTTTTCTACATTTGGTCTCAAAGCGATTGAAATCTCCAACTGGAAACTGCACAAATAGGCTGTTTCAAATCTGCTCTGTCTAAAGGAAGGTTCAACTCTGTGAGTTGAATACACACACCACAAATAAGTTACTGAGAATTCTTCTGTCGACCATTACTTGAAGAAATCCCGTTTCCAACGAAGGCCTCAAAGAGGTCCAAATATCCACTTGCAGACATTACAAACAGAGTGTTTCCAAACTGCTCCATCAAAAGAAAGGTTAAACTCTGTGAGCTGAACACACACATCAAAAAGAAGTTTCTGTGAATGATTCTGTCTAGATTTTATAAGAAGATGTTTCCTTTTCTACCGTAGGCCTCAAAGCGCTTGAAATCTCCAGCTGCAAATTCCACAAAAAGGGTGTTTAACATCTGCTCTTCTAAAGGAAAGTTCAACTCTATGAGTTGAATACACACAGCACAAAGAAGTTACTGAGACTTCTCCTATCAAACATTATATGAAGAAATCCCGTTTCCAACGAAGGCCTCAAAGAGGTCCAAATATCTGCTTGCAGACTTTAAAGACAGAGTTTTTCCAAACTGCTCCATCAAAAGAAAGGTTAAACTCCTTGAGTTGAACACACACATCACAAAGTAGTTTCTGTGAATGATTCTGTCTAGTTTTTATACGAAGATGTTTCCTTTTCTACCTTTGGTCTCAAAGCGATTGAAATCTCCACATGGAAACTCCACAAAAAGAGTGTTTCAAATCTGCTCTTTCTGAAGGAAGGTTCACCTCTGTGAGTTGAATAAACACACCACAAATAAGTTACTGAGAATTCTTCTGTGTAACATTATATGAGGAAATCCCGTTTCCAACGAAGGCCTCAAAGAGGTCCAAATATCCACTTGCAGACTTTACAAAGACAGTGTCTCCAAACTCCTCCATCAAAAGAAAGGTTATACTCTGTGAATTGAACGCACACATCACAAAGTAGTTTCTGAGAATGATTCTGTCTAGTTTTTATACGAAGATATTTCCTTTTCTACATTTGGCCTAAAAGCGCTTGAAATCTCCACCTGCAAATATCACAAAAAGAGGGTTTCACATCTGCTCTGTCTAAAGGACAGTTCACCTCTGTGAGTTGAGTAGAGGCAACACAAAGAACTTACTCAGTATTCTTCTTTCTAGCATTCTATGAAGAAATCCCGTTTCCAACGAAGGCCTCAAAGAGGTCAAATATCTGCTTGCAGACTTTACAGACAGAGTGTTTCCAAACTACTCTATGAAAAGAAAGCTTAAACTCCTTGAGTTGAACGCACACATCACAAAGTAGTTTCTGAGAATGATTCTGTCTAGTTTTTATACGAAGATGTTTCCTTTTCTACATTTGGTCTCAAAGCGATTGAAATCTCCAACTGGAAACTGCACAAATAGGGTGTTTCAAATCTGCTCTGTCTAAAGGAAGGTTCAACTCTGTGAGTTGAATACACACACCACAAATAAGTTACTGAGAATTCTTCTCTCGAACATTACATGAAGAAATCCCGTTTCCAACGAAGGCCTCAAAGAGTTCCAAATATCTACTTGCCGACATGGCAAACACAGTGTTTGCAAACTGCTCCGTCAGAAGAAAGGTTAAACTCTGTGAGATGAACACACACATCAAAAAGAAGTTTCTGTGAATGATTCTGTCTAGATTTTATAAGAAGATGTTTCCTTTTCTACTGTAGGCCTCAAAGTGCTTGAAATCTCCAGCTGCAAATTCCACAAAAAGGGTGTTTAACATCTGCTCTTCTAAAGGAAAGTTCAACTCAATGAGTTGAATACACACAGCCCAAAGAAGTTACTGAGACTTCTCCTATCAAACATTATATGAAGAAATCCCGTTTCCAACGAAGGCCTCAAAGAGGTCCAAATATCTGCTTGCAGACTTTACAGACAGAGTGTTTCCAAACTGCTCCATCAAAAGGAAGTTTAAACTCCTTGAGTTGAACACACACATCACAAAGTAGTTTCTGTGAATGATTCTGTCTAGTTGTTATACGAAGATGTTTCCTTTTCTACCTTTGGTCTCAAAGCGATTGAAATCTCCACATGGAAACTCCACAAAAAGAGTGTTTCAAATCTGCTCTTTCTGAAGGAAGGTTCATCTCTGTGAGTTGAATACACACACCACAAATAAGTTACTGAGAATTCTTCTGTGTAACATTATATGAGGAAATCCCGTTTCCAACGGAGGCCTCAAAGAGGTCCAAATATCCACTTGCAGACTTTACAAAGACAGTGCCTCCAAACTCCTCCACCAAAAGAAAGGTTATACTCTGTGAATTGAACGCACACATCACAAAGTAGTTTCTGAGAATGATTCTGTCTAGTTTTTATACGAAGATATTTCCTTTTCTACATTTCGCCTAAAAGCGCTTGAAATCTCCACCTGCAAATATCACAAAAAGAGGGTTTCACATCTGCTCTGTCTAAAGGACAGTTCACCTCTGTGAGTTGAATAGAGGCAACACAAAGAACTTACTCAGTATTCTTCTTTCTAGCGTTCTATGAAGAAATCCCGTTTCCAACGAAGGCCTCAAAGAGGTCAAATATCTGCTTGCAGACTTTACAGACAGAGTGTTTCCAAACTACTCTATGAAAAGAAAGCTTAAACTCCTTGAGTTGAACGCACACATCACAAAGTAGTTACTGAGAATGATTCTGTCTAGTTTTTATACGAAGATGTTTCGTTTTCTACATTTGGTCTCAAAGCGATTGAAATCTCCAACTGGAAACTGCACAAATAGGGTGTTTCAAATCTGCTCTGTCTAAAGGAAGGTTGAACTCTGTGAGTTGAATACACACACCACAAATAAGTTACTGAGAATTCTTGTCTCGAACATTACATGAAGAAATCCCGTTTCCAACGAAGGCCTCAAAGAGGTCCAAATATCCACTTGCCGACATGGCAAACACAGTGTTTGCAAACTGCTCCATCAAAAGAAAGGTTAAACTCTGTGAGATGAACACACACATCAAAAAGATGTTTCTGTGAATGATTCTGTCTAGATTTTATAAGAAGATGTTTCCTTTTCTACCGTAGGCCTCAAAGCGCTTGAAATCTCCAGCTGCAAATTCCACAAAAAGGGTGTTTAACATCTGGTCTTCTAAAGGAAAGTTCAACTCTATGAGTTGAATACACACAGCACAAAGAAGTTACTGAGACTTCTCCTATCAAACATTATATGAAGAAATCCCGTTTCCAACGAAGGCCTCAAAGAGGTCCAAATATCTGCTTGCAGACTTTACAGACAGAGTGTTTCCAAACTGCTCCATCAAAAGAAAGGTTAAACTCCTTGAGTTGAACACACACATCACAAAGTAGTTTCTGTGAATGATTCTGTCTAGATTTTACACGAAGATGTTTCCTTTTCTACCTTTGGTCTCAATGCGATTGAAATCTCCACATGGAAACTCCACAAAAAGAGTGTTTCAAATCTGCTCTTTCTGAAGGAAGGTTCAACTTTGTGAGTTGAATACACACACCACAAATAAGTTACTGAGAATTCTTCTGTGTAACATTATATGAGGAAATCCCGTTTCCAACGAAGGCCTCAAAGAGGTCCAAATATCCACTTGCAGACTTTACAAAGACAGTGTCTCCAAACTCCTCCATCAAAAGAAAGGTTATACTCTGTGAATTGAACGCACACATCACAAAGTAGTTTCTGAGAATGATTCTGTCTAGTGTTTATACGAAGATATTTCCTTTTCTACATTTGGCCTAAAAGCGCTTGAAATCTCCACCTGCAAATATCACAAAAAGAGGGTTTCACATCTGCTCTTTTTAAAGGACAGTTCACCTCTGTGTGTTGAATAGAGGCAACACAAAGAACTTACTCAGTATTCTTCTTTCTAGCGTTCTATGAAGAAATCCCGTTTCCAACGAAGGCCTCAAAGAGGTCAAATATCTGCTTGCAGACTTTACAGACAGAGTGTTTCCAAACTACTCTATGAAAAGAAAGCTTAAACTCCTTGAGTTGAACGCACACATCACAAAGTAGTTTCTGAGAATGATTCTCTCTAGTTTTAATACGAAGATGTTTCCTTTTCTACATTTGGTCTCAAAGCGATTGAAATCTCCAACTGGAAACTGCACAAATAGGGTGTTTCAAATCTGCTCTGTCTAAAGGAAGGTTCAACTCTGTGAGTTGAATACACACACCACAAATAAGTTACTGAGAATTCTTCTGTCGAACATTACATGAAGAAATCCCGTTTCCAACGAAGGCCTCAAAGAGGTCCAAATATCCACTTGCAGACATTACAAACAGAGTGTTTCCAAACTGCTCCATCAAAAGAAAGGTTAAACTCTGTGAGCTGAACACACACATCAAAAAGAAGTTTCTGTGAATGATTCTGTCTAGATTTTATAAGAAGATGTTTCCTTTTCTACCGTAGGCCTCAAAGCGCTTGAAATCTCCAGCTGCAAATTCCACAAAAAGGGTGTTTAACATCTGCTCTTCTAAAGGAAAGTTCAACTCTATGAGTTGAATACACACAGCACAAAGAAGTTACTGAGACTTCTCCTATCAAACATTATATGAAGAAATCCCGTTTCCAACGAAGGCCTCAAAGAGGTCCAAATATCTGCTTGCAGACTTTACAGACAGAGTGTTTCCAAACTGCTCCATCAAAAGAAAGGTTAACCTCCTTGAGTTGAACACACACATCACAAAGTAGTTTCTGTGAATGATTCTGTCTAGTTTTTATACGAAGATGTTTCCTTTTCTACCTTTGGTCTCAAAGCGATTGAAATCTCCACATGGAAACTCCACAAAAAAGAGTGTTTCAAATCTGCTCTTTCTGAAGGAAGGTTCAACTCTGTGAGTTGAATACACACACCACAAATAAGTTACTGAGAATTCTTCTGTGTAAAATTATATGAGGAAATCCCGTTTCGAACGAAGGCCTCAAAGAGGTCCAAATATCCACTTGCAGTCTTTACAAAGACAGTGTCTCCAAACTCCTCCATCAAAAGAAAGGTTATACTCTGTGAATTGAACACACACATCACAAAGTAGTTTCTGAGAATGATTCTGTCTACTTTTTATAAGAAGATATTTCCTTTTCCACATTTGGCCTAAAAGCGCTTGAAATCTCCACCTGCAAATATCACAAAAAGAGGGTTTCACATCTGCTCTGTCTAAAGGACAGTTCACCTCTGTGAGTTGAATAGAGGCAACACAAAGAACTTACTCAGTATTCTTCTTTCTAGCGTTCTATGAAGAAATCCCGTTTCCAACGAAGGCCTCAAAGAGGTCCAAATATCTGATTGCAGACTTTACAGACAGAGTGTTTCCAAACTACTCTATGAAAAGAAAGCTTAAACTCCTTGAGTTGAACGCACATATCACAAAGTAGTTTCTGAGAATGATTCTGTCTAGTTTTTATACGAAGATGTTTCCTTTTCTACCTTTGGTCTCAAAGCGATTGAAATCTCCAACTGGAAACTGCACAAATAGGGTGTTTCAAATCTGCTCTGTCTAAAGGAAGGTTCAAATCTGTGAGTTGAATACACACACCACAAATAAGTTACTGAGAATTCTTCTGTCGAACATTACATGAAGAAATCCCGTTTCCAACGAAGACCTCAAAGAGGTCCAAATATCCACTTGCAGCCATTACAAACAGTGTGTTTCCAAACTGCTCCATCAAAAGAAAGGTTAAACTCTGTGAGCTGAACACACACATCAAAAAGAAGTTTCTGTGAATGATTCTGTCTAGATTTTATAAGAAGATGTTTCCTTTTCTACCGTAGGCCTCAAAGCGCTTGAAATCTCCAGCTGCAAATTCCACAAAAAGGGTGTTTAACATCTGCTCTTCTAAAGGAAAGTTCAACTCTATGAGTTGAATACACACAGCACAAAGAAGTTACTGAGACTTCTCCTATCAAACATTATATGAAGAAATCCCGTTTCCAACGAAGGCCTCAAAGAGGTCCAAATGTCTGCTTGCAGACTTTACAGACAGAGTGTTTCCAAACTGCTCCATCAAAAGAAAGGTTAAACTCCTTGAGTTGAACACACACATCACAAAGTAGTTTCTGTGAATGATTCTGTCTAGTTTTTATACGAAGATGTTTCCTTTTCTACCTTTGGTCTCAAAGCGATTGAAATCTCCACATGGAAACTCCTCAAAAAGAGTGTTTCAAATCTGCTCTTTCTGAAGGAAGGTTCAACTCTGTGAGTTGAATACACACACCACAAATAAGTTACTGAGAATTCTTCTGTGTAACATTATATGAGGAAATCCCGTTTCCAACGAAGGCCTCAAAGAGGTCCAAATATCCACTTGCAGACTTTACAAAGACAGTGTCTCCAAACTCCTCCATCAAAAGAAAGGTTATACTCTGTGAATTGAACGCACACATCACAAAGTAGTTTCTGAGAATGATTATCTGTCTAGTTTTTATACGAAGATATTTCCTTTTCTACATTTGGCCAAAAAGCGCTTGAAATCTCCACCTGCAAATATCACAAAAAGAGGGTTTCACATCTGCTCTGTCTAAAGGACAGTTCACCTCTGTGAGTTGAATAGATTCAACACAAAGAAGTTACTGAGTATTCTTCTTTCTAGCGTTCTATGAAGAAATACCGTTTCCAACGAAGACCTCAAAGAGGTCCAAATATCTGCTTGCAGACTTTACAGACAGAGTGTTTCCAAACTACTCTATGAAAAGAAAGCTTAAACTCCTTGAGTTGAACGCACACATCACAAATTAGTTTCTGAGAATGATTCTGTCTAGTTTTTATACGAAGATGTTTCCTTTTCTACATTTGGTCTCAAAGCGATTGAAATCTCCAACTGGAAACTGCACAAATAGGGTGTTTCAAATCTGCTGTGTCTAAAGGAAGGTTCAACTCTGTGAGTTGAATACACACACCACAAATGAGTTACTGGGAATTCTTCTGTCGAACATTACAGGAAGAAATCCCGTTTCCAACGAAGGCCTCAAAGAGGTCCAAATATCCACTTGCAGACATTACAAACAGTGTGTTTCCAAACTGCCCCATCAAAAGAAAGGTTAAACTCTGTGAGCTGAACACACACATCAAAGAGAAGTTTCTGTGAATGATTCTGTCTAGATTTTATAAGAAGATGTTTCCTTTTCTACCGTAGGCCTCAAAGCGCTTGAAATCTCCAGCTGCAAATTCCACAAAAAGGGTGTTTAACATCTGCTCTTCTAAAGGAAAGTTCAACTCTATGAGTTGAATACACACAGCACAAAGAAGTTACTGAGACTTCTCCTATCAAACATTAGATGAAGAAATCCCGTTTCCAACGAAGGCCTCAAAGAGGTACAAATATCTGCTTGCAGACTTTACAGACAGAGTTTTTCCAAACTGCTCCATCAAAAGAAAGGTTAAACTCCTTGAGTTGAACACACACATCACAAAGTAGTTTCTGTGAATGATTCTGTCTAGTTTTTATACGAAGATGTTTCCTTTTCTACCTTTGGTCTCAAAGCGATTGAAATCTCCACATGGAAACTCCACAAAAAGATTGTTTCAAATCTGCTCTTTCTGAAGGAAGGTTCAACTCTGTGAGTTGAATACACACACCACAAATAAGTTACTGAGAATTTCCCTATCAAACATTATATGAAGAAATCCCGTTTCCAACGATGGCCTTCAAAGAGGTCCAAATATCTCCTTGCAGACTTTACAAAGACAGTGTCTCCAAACTCCTCCATCAAAAGAAAGGTTATACTCTGTGAATTGAACGCACACATCACAAAGTAGTTTCTGAGAATGATTCTGTCTAGTTTTTATACGAAGATATTTCCTTTTCTACATTTGGCCTAAAAGCGCTTGAAATCTCCACCTGCAAATATCACAAAAAGGTTGTTTCACATCTGCTCTGTCTAAAGGACTGTTCACCTCTGTGAGTTGAATAGAGGCAACACAAAGAACTTACTCAGTATTCTTCTTTCTAGCATTCTATGAAGAAATCCCGTTTCCAACGAAGGCCTCAAAGAGGTCAAATATCTGCTTGCAGACTTTACAGACAGAGTGTTTCCAAACTACTCGATGAAAAGAAAGCTTAAACTCCTTGAGTTGAACGCACACATCACAAAGTAGTTTCTGAGAATGATTCTGTCTAGTTTTTATACGAAGATGTTTCCTTTTCTACATTTGGTCTCAAAGCGATTGAAATCTCCAACTGGAAACTGCACAAATAGGGTGTTTCAAATCTGCTCTGTCTAAAGGAAGGTTCAACTCTGTGAGTTGAATACACACACCACAAATAAGTTACTGAGAATTCTTCTCTCGAACATTACATGAAGAAATCCCGTTTCCAACGAAGGCCTCAAAGAGGTCCAAATATCCACTTGCCGACATGGCAAACACAGTGTTTGCAAACTGCTCCGTCAAAAGAAAGGTTAAACTCTGTGAGATGAACACACACATCAAAAAGAAGTTTCTGTGAATGATTCTGTCTAGATTTTATAAGAAGATGTTTCCTTTTCTACCATAGGCCTCAAAGCACTAGAAATCTCCAGCTGCAAATTCCACAAAAAGTGTGTTTAACATCCGCTCTGTCTAAAGTAAAGTTCAGCTCTGTGAGTTGAATACACACAGCACAAAGAAGTTACTGAGACTTCTCCTATCAAACATTATATGAAGAAATCCCGTTTCCAACGAAGGCCTCAAAGAGGTCCAAATATCTGCTTGCAGACTTTACAGACAGAGTGTTTCCAAACTGCTCCATCAAAAGAAAGGTTAAACTCCTTGAGTTGAACACACACATCACAAAGTAGTTTCTGTGAATGATTCTGTCTAGTTTTTATACGAAGATGTTTCCTTTTCTACCTTTGGTCTCAAAGCCATTGAAATCTCCACATGGAAACTCCAGAAAAAGAGTGTTTCAAATCTGCTCTTTCTGAAGGAAGGTTCAACTCTGTGAGTTGAATACACACACCACAAATAAGTTACTGAGAATTCTCCCTGTGTAACATTATATGAGGAAATCCCGTTTCCAACAAAGGCCTCAAAGAGGTCCAAATATCCACTTGCAGACTTTACAAAGACAGTGTCTCCAAACTCCTCCATCAAAAGAAAGGTTATACTCTGTGAATTGAACGCACACATCACAAAGTAGTTTCTGAGAATGATTCTGTCTAGTTTTTATACGAAGATATTTCCTTTTCTACATTTGGCCTAAAAGCGCTTGAAATCTCCACCTGCAAATATCACAAAAAGAGGGTTTCACATCTGCTCTGTCTAAAGGACAGTTCACCTCTGTGAGTTGAATAGAGGCAACACAAAGAACGTACTCAGTATTCTTCTTTCTAGCGTTCTATGAAGAAATCCCGTTTCCAACGAAGGCCCCAAAGAGGTCCAAATATCTGCTTGCAGACTTTACAGACAGAGTGTTTCCAAACTACTCTATGAAAAGAAAGCTTAAACTCCTTGAGTTGAACGCACACATCACAAAGTAGTTTCTGAGAATGATTCTGTCTAGTTTTTATACGAAGATGTTTCCTTGTCTACATTTGGTCTCAAAGCGATTGAAATCTCCAACTGGAAACTGCACAAATAGGGTGTTTCAAATCTGCTCTGTCTAAAGGAAGGTTCAACTCTGTGAGTTGAATACACACACCACAAATAAGTTACTGAGAATTCTTCTGTCGAACATTACAGGAAGAAATCCCGTTTCCAACGAAGGCCTCAAAGAGGTCCAAATATCCACTTGCAGACATTACAAACAGTGTGTTTCCCAACTGCTCCATCAAAAGAAAGGTTAAACTCTGTGAGCTGAACACACACATCAAAAAGAAGTTTCTGTGAATGATTCTGTCTAGATTTTATAAGAAGATGTTTCCTTTTCTACCGTAGGCCTCAAAGCGCTTGAAATCTCCAGCTGCAAATTCCACAAAAAGGGTGTTTAACATCTGCTCTTCTAAAGGAAAGTTCAACTCTATGAGTTGAATACACACAGCACAAAGAAGTTACTGAGACTTCTCCCTATCAAACATTATATGAAGAAATCCCGTTTCCAACGAAGGCCTCAAAGAGGTCCAAATATCTGCTTGCAGACTTTACAGACAGAGTGTTTCCAAACTGCTAAATCAAAAGAAAGGTTAAACTCCTTGAGTTGAACACACACATCACAAAGTAGTTTCTGTGAATGATTCTGTCTAGTTTTTATACGAAGATGTTTCCTTTTCTACCTTTGGTCTCAAAGCGATTGAAATCTCCACATGGAAACTCCACAAAAAGAGTGTTTCAAATCTGCTCTTTCTGAAGGAAGGTTCACCTCTGTGAGTTGAATAAACACACCACAAATAAGTTACTGAGAATTCTTCTGTGTAACATTATAGGAGGAAATCCCGTTTCCAACGAAGGCCTCAAAGAGGTCCAAATATCCACTTGCAGACTTTACAAAGACAGTGTCTCCAAACTCCTCCATCAAAAGGAAGGTTATCCTCTGTGAATTGAACGCACACATCACAAAGTAGTTTCTGAGAATGATTCTGTCTAGCTTTTATACGAAGATATTTCCTTTTCTACATTTGGCCTAAAAGCGCTTGAAATCTCCACCTGCAAATATCACAAAAAGAGGGTTTCACATCTGCTCTGTCTAAAGGACAGTTCACCTCTGTGAGTTGAATAGAGGCAGCACAAAGAAGTTACTGAGTATTCTTCTTTCTAGCGTTCTATGAAGAAATCCCGTTTCCAACGAAGGCCCCAAAGAGGTCCAAATATCTGCTTGCAGACTTTACAGACAGAGTGTTTCCAAACTACTCTATGAAAAGAAAGCTTAAACTCCTTGAGTTGAACGCACACATCACAAAGTAGTTTCTGAGAATGATTCTGTCTAGTTTTTATACGAAGATGTTTCCTTTTCTACATTTGGTCTCAAAGCGATTGAAATCTCCAACTGGAAACTGCACAAATAGGCTGTTTCAAATCTGCTCTGTCTAAAGGAAGGTTCAACTCTGTGAGTTGAATACACACACCACAAATAAGTTACTGAGAATTCTTCTGTCGAACATTAGAGGAAGAAATCCCGTTTCCAACGGAGGCCTCAAAGAGGTCCAAATATCCACTTGCAGACATTACAAACAGTGTGTTTCCCAACTGCTCCATCAAAAGAAAGGTTAAACTCTGTGAGCTGAACACACACATCAAAAAGAAGTTTCTGTGAATGATTCTGTCTAGATTTTATAAGAAGATGTTTCCTTTTCTACCGTAGGCCTCAAAGCGCTTGAAATCTCCAGCTGCAAATTCCACAAAAAGGGTGTTTAACATCTGCTCTTCTAAAGGAAAGTTCAACTCTATGAGTTCAATACACACAGCACAAAGAAGTTACTGAGACTTCTCCTATCAAACATTATATGAAGAAATCCCGTTTCCAACGAAGGCCTCAAAGAGGTCCAAATATCTGCTTGCAGACTTTACAGACAGAGTGTTTCCAAACTGCTCCATCAAAAGAAAGGTTAAACTCCTTGAGTTGAACACACACATCACAAAGTAGTTTCTGTGAATGATTCTGTCTAGTTTTTATACGAAGATGTTTCCTTTTCTACCTTTGGTCTCAAAGCGATTGAAATCTCCACATGGAAACTCCACAAAAAGAGTGTTTCAAATCTGCTCTTTCTGAAGGAAGGTTCAACTCTGTGAGTTGAATACACACACCACAAATAAGTTACTGAGAATTCTTCTGTGTAACATTATATGAGGAAATCCCGTTTCCAACGAAGGCCTCAAAGAGGTCCAAATATCCACTTGCAGACTTTACAAAGACAGTGTCTCCAAACTCCTCCATCAAAAGAAAGGTTATACTCTGTGAATTGAACGCACACATCACAAAGTAGTTTCTGAGAATGATTCTGTCTAGTTTTTATACGAAGATATTTCCTTTTCTACATTTGGCCTAAAAGTGCTTGAAATCTCCACCTGCAAATATCACAAAAAGAGGGTTTCACATCTGCTCTGTCTAAAGGACAGTTCACCTCTGTGAGTTGAATAGAGGCAACACAAAGAAGTTAGTGAGTATTCTTCTTTCTAGCGTTATATGAAGAAATCCCGTTTCCAACGAAGGCCTCAAAGAGGTCCAAATATCTGCTTGCAGACTTTACAGACAGAGTGTTTCCAAACTACTCTATGAAAAGAGAGCTTAAACTCCGTGAGTTGAACGCACACATCACAAAGTAGTTTCTGAGAATGATTCTGTCTTGTTTTTTTACGAAGATATTTCCGTTTCTATGATTGGCCTCAAAGCGATTGAAATCTCCAACTGGAAACTGCACAAATAGGGTGTTTCAAATCTGCTCTGTCTAAAGGAAGGTTCAACTCTGTGAGTTGAATGCACACACCACAAATAAGTTACTGAGAATTCTTCTGTCGAACATTACATGAAGAAATCCCGTTTCCAACGAAGGCCTCAAGAGGTCCAAATATCCACTTGCCGACATGGCAAACACAGTTTTTCCAAACTGCTCCGTGAAAAGAAAGGTTAAACTCTGTGAGATGAACACACACATCAAAAAGAAGTTTCTGTGAATGATTCTGTCTAGATTTTATAAGAAGATGTTTCCTTTTCTACCGTAGGCCTCAAAGCGCTTGAAATCTCCAGCTGCAAATTCCACAAAAAGGGTGTTTAACATCTGCTCTTCTAAAGGAAAGTTCAACTCTATGAGTTGAATACACACAGCACAAAGAAGTTACTGAGACTTCTTCTTTCTAGCATTCTATGAAGAAATCCCGTTTCCAACGAAGGCCCCAAAGAGGTCCAAATATCTGCTTGCAGACTTTACAGACAGAGTTTTTCCAAACTGCTCCATCAAAAGAAAGGTTAAACTCCTTGAGTTGAACACACACATCACAAAGTAGTTTCTGTGAATGATTCTGTCTAGTTTTTATACGAAGATGTTTCCTTTTCTACCTTTGGTCTCAAAGCGATTGAAATCTCCACATGGAAACTCCACAAAAAGAGTGTTTCAAATCTGCTCTTTCTGAAGGAAGGTTCAACTCTGTGAGTTGAATACACACACCACAAATAAGTTACTGAGAATTCTTCTGTGTAACATTATATGAGGAAATCCCGTTTCCAACGAAGGCCTCAAAGAGGTCCAAATATCCACTTGCAGACTTTACAAAGACAGTGTCTCCAAACTCCTCCATCAAAAGAAAGGTTATACTCTGTGAATTGAACGCACACATCACAAAGTAGTTTCTGAGAATGATTCTGTCTAGTTTTTATACGAAGATATTTCCTTTTCTACATTTGGCCTAAAAGCGCTTGAAATCTCCACCTGCAAATATCACAAAAAGAGGGTTTCACATCTGCTCTGTCTAAAGGACAGTTCACCTCTGTGAGTTGAATAGAGGCAGCACAAAGAAGTTACTGAGTATTCTTCTTTCTAGCGTTCTATGAAGAAATCCCGTTTCCAACGAAGGCCTCAAAGAGGTCAAATATCTGCTTGCAGACTTTACAGACAGAGTGTTTCCAAACTACTCTATGAAAAGAAAGCTTAAACTCCTTGAGTTGAACGCACACATCACAAAGTAGTTTCTGAGAATGATTCTGTCTAGTTTTTATACGAAGCATGTTTCCTTTTCTACATTTGGTCTCAAAGCGATTGAAATCTCCAACTGGAAACTGCACAAATAGGGTGTTTCAAATCTGCTCTGTCTAAAGGAAGGTTCAACTCTGTGAGTTGAATACACACACCACAAATAAGTTACTGAGAATTCTTCTGTCGAACATTACTTGAAGAAATCCCGTTTCCAACGAAGGCCTCAAAGAGGTCCAAATATCCACTTGCAGACATTACAAACAGAGTGTTTCCAAACTGCTCCATCAAAAGAAAGGTTAAACTCTGTGAGCTGAACACACACATCAAAAAGAAGTTTCTGTGAATGATTCTGTCTAGATTTTATAAGAAGATGTTTCCTTTTCTACCGTAGGCCTCAAAGCGCTTGAAATCTCCAGCTGCAAATTCCACAAAAAGGGTGTTTAACATCTGCTCTTCTAAAGGAAAGTTCAACTCTATGAGTTGAATACACACAGCACAAAGAAGTTACTGAGACTTCTCCTATCATACATTATATGAAGAAATCCCGTTTCCAATGAAGGCCTCAAAGAGGTCCAAATATCTGCTTGCAGACTTTACAGACAGAGTGTTTCCAAACTGCTCCATCAAAAGAAAGGTTAAACTCCTTGAGTTGAACACACACATCACAAAGTAGTTTCTGTGAATGATTCTGTCTAGTTTTTATACGAAGATGTTTCCTTTTCTACCTTTGGTCTCAAAGCGATTGAAATCTCCACATGGAAACTCCACAAAAAGAGTGTTTCAAATCTGCTCTTTCTGAAGGAAGGTTCAACTCTGTGAGTTGAATACACACATCACAAATAAGTTAATGAGAATTCTTCTGTGTAACATTATATGAGGAAATCCCGTTTCCAACGAAGGCCTCAAAGAGGTCCAAATATCCACTTGCAGACTTTACAAAGACAGTGTCTCCAAACTCCTCCATCAAAAGAAAGGTTATACTCTGTGAATTGAACGCACACATCACAAAGTAGTTTCTGAGAATGATTCTGTCTAGTTTTTATACGAAGATATTTCCTTTTCTACATTTGGCCTAAAAGCGCTTGAAATCTCCACCTGCAAATATCACAAAAAGAGGGTTTCACATCTGCTCTGTCTAAAGGACAGTTCACCTCTGTGAGTTGAATAGAGGCAACACAAAGAACTTACTCAGTATTCTTCTTTCTAGCGTTCTATGAAGAAATCCCTTTTCCAACGAAGGCCTCAAAGAGGTCCAAATATCTGCTTGCAGACTTTACAGAGTGTTTCCAAACTACTATATGAAAAGAAAGCTTAAACTCCTTGAGTTGAACGCACACATCACAAAGTAGTTTCTGAGAATGATTCTGTCTAGTTTTTATACGAAGATGTACATTTCGTCTCAAAGCGATTGAAATCTCCAACTGGAAACTGCACAAATAGGGTGTTTCGAATCTGCTCTGTCTAAAGGAAGGTTCAACTCTGTGAGTTGAATACACACACCACAAATAAGTTACTGAGAATTCTTCTGTCGAACATTACTTGAAGAAATCCCGTTTCCAACGAAGGCCTCAAAGAGGTCCAAATATCCACTTGCAGACATTACAAACAGAGTGTTTCCAAACTGCTCCATCAAAAGAAAGGTTAAACTCTGTGAGCTGAACACACACATCAAAAAGAAGTTTCTGTGAATGATTCTGTCTAGATTTTATAAGAAGATGTTTCCTTTTCTACCGTAGGACTCAAAGCGCTTGAAATCTCCAGCTGCAAATTCCACAAAAAGGGTGTTTAACATCTGCTCTTCTAAAGGAAAGTTCAACTCTATGAGTTGAATACACACAGCACAAAGAAGTTACTGAGACTTCTCCTATCAAACATTATATGAAGAAATCCCGTTTCAAACGAAGGCCTCAAAGAGGTCCAAATATCTGCTTGCAGACTTTACAGACAGAGTGTTTCCAAACTGCTCCATCAAAAGAAAGGTTAAACTCCTTGAGTTGAACACACACATCACAAAGTAGTTTCTGTGAATGATTCTGTCTAGTTTTTATACGAAGATGTTTCCTTTTCTACCTTTGGTCTCAAAGCGATTGAAATCTCCACATGGAAACTCCACAAAAAGAGTGTTTCAAATCTGCTCTTTCTGAAGGAAGGTTCAACTCTGTGAGTTGAATACACACACCACAAATAAGTTACTGAGAATTCTTCTGTGTAACATTATATGAGGAAATCCCGTTTCCAACGAAGGCCACAAAGAGGTCCAAATATCCACTTGCAGACTTTACAAAGACAGTGTCTCCAAACTCCTCCATCAAAAGAAAGGTTATACTCTGTGAATTGAACGCACACATCACAAAGTAGTTTCTGAGAATGATTCTGTCTAGTTTTTATACGAAGATATTTCCTTTTCTACATTTGGCCTAAAAGCGCTTGAAATCTCCACCTGCAAAAAGAGGGTTTCACATCTGCTCTGTCTAAAGGACAGTTCACCTCTGTGAGTTGAGTAGAGGCAACACAAAGAACTTACTCAGTATTCTTCTTTCTAGCGTTCTATGAAGAAATCCCGTTTCCAACGAAGGCCCCAAAGAGGTCCAAATATCTGCTTGCAGACTTTACAGACAGAGTGTTTCCAAACTACTCTATGAAAAGAAAGCTTAAACTCCTTGAGTTGAACGCACACATCACAAAGTAGTTTCTGAGAATGATTCTGTCTCGTTTTTATAGGAAGATATTTCCGTTTCTATGATTGGCCTCAAAGCGAATGAAATCTCCAACTGGAAACTGCACAAATAGGGTGTTTCAAATCTGCTCTGTCTAAAGGAAGGTTCAACTCTGTGAGTTGAATACACACACCACAAATAAGTTACTGAGAATTCTTCTCTCGAACATTACATGAAGAAATCCCGTTTCCAACGAAGGCCTCAAAGAGGTCCAAATATCCAGTTGCCGACAATGCAAACACAGTGTTTGCAAACTGCTCCATCAAAAGAAAGGTTAAACTCTGTGAGATGAACACACACATCAAAAAGAAGTTTCTGTGAATGATTCTGTCTAGATTTTATAAGAAGATGTTTCCTTTTCTACCATAGGCCTCAAAGCGCTAGAAATCTCCAGCTGCAAATTCCACAAAAAGTGTGTTTAACATCTGCTCTGTCTAAAGTAAAGTTCAGCTCTGTGTGTTGAATACACACAACACAAAGAAATTACTGAGACTTCTCCTATCAAACATTATATGAAGAAATCCCGTTTCCAACGAAGGCCTCAAAGAGGTCCAAATATCTGCTTGCAGACTTTACAGACAGAGTTTTTCCAAACTGCTCCATCAAAAGAAAGGTTAAACTCCTTGAGTTGCACACACACATCACAAAGTAGTTTCTGTGAATGATTCTGTCTAGTTTTTATACGAAGATGTTTCCTTTTCTACCTTTGGTCTCAAAGCGATTGAAATCTCCACATGGAAACTCCACCAAAAGAGTGTTTCAAATCTGCTCTTTCTGAAGGACGGTTCAACTCTGTGAGTTGAATACACACACCACAAATAAGTTACTGAGAATTCTTCTGTGTAACATTATATGAGGAAATCCCGTTTCCAACGAAGGCCTCAAAGAGGTCCAAATATCCACTTGCAGACTTTACAAAGACAGTGTCTCCAAACTCCTCCATCAAAAGAAAGGTTATACTCTGTGAATTGAACGCACACATCACAAAGTAGTTTCTGAGAATGATTCTGTCTAGTTTTTATACGAAGATATTTCCTTTTCTACATTTGGCCTAAAAGCGCTTGAAATCTCCACCTGCAAATATCACAAAAAGAGGGTTTCACATCTGCTCTGTCTAAAGGACAGTTCAACTCTGTGAGTTGAATAGAAGCAACACAAAGAACTTACTCAGTATTCTTCTTTCTAGCGTTCTATGAAGAAATCCCGTTTCCAACGAAGGCCCCAATGAGGTCCAAATATCTGCTTGCAGACTTTACAGACAGAGTGTTTCCAAACTACTCTATGAAAAGAAAGCTTAAACTCCTTGAGTTGAACGCACACATCACAAAGTAGTTTCTGAGAATGATTCTGTCTAGTTTTTATACGAAGATGTTTCCTTTTCTACATTTGGTCTCAAAGCGATTGAAATCTCCAACTGGAAACTGCACAAATAGGGTGTTTCAAATCTGCTCTGTCTAAAGGAAGGTTCAACTCTTTGAGTTGAATACACACACCACAAATAAGTTACTGAGAATTCTTCTGTCGAACATTACAGGAAGAAATCCCGTTTCCAACGAAGGCCTCAAAGAGGTCCAAATATCCACTTGCAGACATTACAAACAGTTTGTTTCCCAACTGCTCCATCAAAAGAAAGGTTAAACTCTGTGAGCTGAACACACACATCAAAAAGAAGTTTCTGTGAATGATTCTGTCTAGATTTTATAAGAAGATGTTTCCTTTTCTACCGTAGGCCTCAAAGCGCTTGAAATCTCCAGCTGCAAATTCCACAAAAAGGGTGTTTAACATCTGCTCTTCTAAAGGAAAGTTCAACTCTATGAGTTGAATACACACAGCACAAAGAAGTTACTGAGACTTCTCCTATCAAACATTATATGAAGAAATCCCGTTTCCAACGAAGGCCTCAAAGAGGTCCAAATATCTGCTTGCAGACTTTACAGACAGAGTGTTTCCAAACTGCTCCATCAAAAGAAAGGTTAAACTCCTTGAGTTGAACACACACATCCCAAAGTAGTTTCTGTGAATGATTCTGTCTAGTTGTTATACGAAGATGTTTCCTTTTCTACCTTTGGTCTCAAAGCGATTGAAATCTCCACATGGAAACTCTACAAAAAGAGTGTTTCAAATCTGCTCTTTCTGAAGGAAGGTTCATCTCTGTGAGTTGAATACACACACCACAAATAAGTTACTGAGAATTCTTCTGGGTAACATTATATGAGGAAATCCCGTTTCCAACGAAGGCCTCAAAGAGGTCCAAATATCCACTTGCAGACTTTACAAAGACAGTGTCTCCAAACTCCTCCATCAAAAGAAAGGTTATACTCTGTGAATTGAACGCACACATCACAAAGTAGTTTCTGAGAATGATTCTGTCTAGTTTTTATACGAAGATATTTCCTTTTCTACATTTGGCCTAAAAGCGCTTGAAATCTCCACGTGCAAATATCACAAAAAGAGGGTTTCACATCTGCTCTGTCTAAAGGACAGTTCACCTCTGTGAGTTGAATAGAGGCAACACAAAGAACTTACTCAGTATTCTTCTTCCTAGCGTTACATGAAGAAATCCCGTTTCCAACGAAGGCCTCAAAGAGGTCCAAACATCTGCTTGCAGACTTTACAGACAGAGTGTTTCCACACTACTCTATGAAAAGAAAGCTTAAACTCCTTGAGTTGAACGCACACATCACAAAATAGTTTCTGAGAATGATTCTGTCTAGTTTTTATACGAAGATGTTTCCTTTTCTACATTTGGTCTCAAAGCGATTGAAATCTCCAACTGGAAACTGCACAAATAGGGTGTTTCAAATCTGCTCTGTCTAAAGGAAGGTTCAACTCTGTGAGTTGAATACACACACCACAAATAAGTTACTGAGAATTCTTCTCCCGAACATTACTTGAAGAAATCCCGTTTCCAACGAAGGCCTCAAAGAGGTCCAAATATCCACTTGCAGACATTACAAACAGAGTGTTTCCAAACTGCTCCATCAAAAGAAAGGTTAAACTCTGTGAGCTGAACACACACATCAAAAAGAAGTTTCTGTGAATGATTCTGTCTAGATTTTATAAGAAGATGTTTCCTTTTCTACCGTAGGCCTCAAAGCGCTTGAAATCTCCAGCTGCAAATTCCACAAAAAGGGTGTTTAACATCTGCTCTTCTAAAGGAAAGTTCAACTCTATGAGTTGAATACACACAGCACAAAGAAGTTACTGAGACTTCTCCTATCAAACATTATATGAAGAAATCCCGTTTCCAACGAAGGCCTCAAAGAGGTCCAAATATCTGCTTGCAGACTTTACAGACAGTGTGTTTCCAAACTGCTCCATCAAAAGAAAGGTTAAACTCCTTGAGTTGAACACACACATCACAAAGTAGTTTCTGTGAATGATTCTGTCTAGTTTTTATACGAAGATGTTTCCTTTTCTACCTTTGGTCTCAAAGCGATTGAAATCTCCACATGGAAACTCCACAAAAAGAGTGTTTCAAATCTGCTCTTTCTGAAGGAAGGTTCAACTCTGTGAGTTGAATACACACACCACAAATAAGTTACTGAGAGTTCTCCTATCAAACATTATATGAAGAAATCCCGTTTCCAACGAAGGCCTCAAAGAGGTCCAAATATCTGCTTGCAGACTTTACAAAGACAGTGTCTCCAAACTCCTCCATCAAAAGAAAGGTTATACTCTGTGAATTGAACGCACACATCACAAAGTAGTTTCTGAGAATGATTCTGTCTAGTTTTTATACGAAGATATTTCCTTTTCTACATTTGGCCTAAAAGCGCTTGAAGTCTCCACCTGCAAATATCACAGAAAGAGGGTTTCACATCTGCTCTGTCTAAAGGACAGTTCACCTTTGTGAGTTGAATAGAGGCAACACAAAGAACTTACTCAGTATTCTTCTTTCTAGCGTTCTATGAAGAAATCCCGTTTCCAACGAAGGCCCCAAAGAGGTCCAAATATCTGCTTGCAGACTTTACAGACAGAGTGTTTCCAAACTACTCTATGAAATGAAAGCTTAAACTCCTTGAGTTGAACGCACACATCACAAAGTAGTTTCTGAGAATGATTCTGTCTAGTTTTTATACGAAGATGTTTCCTTTTCTACATTTGGTCTCAAAGCGATTGAAATCTCCAACTGGAAACTGCACAAATAGGGTGTTTCAAATCTGCTCTGTCTAAAGGAAGGTTCAACTCTGTGAGTTGAATACACACACCACAAATAAGTTACTGAGAATTCTTCTGTCGAACATTACTTGAAGAAATCCCGTTTCCAACGAAGGCCTCAAAGAGGTCCAAATATCCACTTGCAGACATTACAAACAGAGTGTTTCCAAACTGCTCCATCAAAAGAAAGGTTAAACTCTGTGAGCTGAACACACACATCGAAAAGAAGTTTACTGTGAATGATTTCTGTCTAGATTTTATAAGAAGATGTTTCCTTTTCTACCGTAGGCCTCAAAGCGCTTGAAATCTCCAGCTGCAAATTCCACAAAAAGGGTGTTTAACATCTGCTCTTCTAAAGGAAAGTTCAACTCTATGAGTTGAATACACACAGCACAAAGAAGTTACTGAGACTTCTCCTATCAAACATTATATGAAGAAATCCCGTTTCCAACGAAGGCCTCAAAGAGGTCCAAATATCTGCTTGCAGACTTTACAGACAGAGTGTTTCCAAACTGCTCCATCAAAAGAAAGGTTAAAGTCTGTGACTTGAATACACACAACACAAAGTAGTTTCTGTGAATGATTCTGTCTAGTTTTTATACGAAGATGTTTCCTTTTCTACCTTTGGTCTCAAAGCGATTGAAATCTCCACATGGAAACTCCACAAAAAGAGTGTTTCAAATATGCTCTTTCTGAAGGAAGGTTCAACTCTGTGAGTTGAATACACACAACACAAATAAGTTACTGAGAATTCTTCTGTGTAACATTATATGAGGAAATCCCGTTTCCAACGAAGGCCTCAAAGAGGTCCAAATATCCACTTGCAGACTTTACAAAGACAGTGTCTCCAAACTCCTCCATCAAAAGAAAGGTTATACTCTGTGAATTGAACGCACACATCACAAAGTAGTTTCTGAGAATGATTCTGTCTAGTTTTTATACGAAGATATTTCCTTTTCTACATTTGGCCTAAAAGCGCTTGAAATCTCCACCTGCAAATATCACAAAAAGAGGGTTTCACATCTGCTCTGTCTAAAGGACAGTTCACCTCTGTGAGTTGAGTAGAGGCAACACAAAGAACTTACTCAGTATTCTTCTTTCCAGCGTTCTATGAAGAAATCACGTTTCCAACGAAGGCCCCAGTGAGGTCCAAATATCTGCTTGCAGACTTTACAGACAGAGTGTTTCCAAACTACTCTATGAAAAGAAAGCTTAAACTTCTTGAGTTGAACGCACACATCACAAAGTAGTTTCTGAGAATGATTCTGTCTAGTTTTTATACGAAGATGTTTCCTTTTCTACATTTGGTCTCAAAGCGATTGAAATCTCCAACTGGAAACTGCACAAATAGGGTGTTTCAAATCTGCTCTGTCTAAAGGAAGGTTCAACTCTGTGAGTTGAATACACACACCACAAATAAGTTACTGAGAATTCTTCTGTCTAACATTATATGAAGAAATCCCGTTTCCAACGAAGGCCTAAAAGAGGTCCAAATATCCACTTGCAGACTTGTCAAACAGAGTGTTTCCAAACTGCACCATCAAAAGAAAGGTTAAACTCTGTGAGCTGAACACACACATCACAAAGTAGTTTCTGTGAATGATTCTGTCTAGATTTTATAAGAAGATGTTTCCTTTTCTACCGTAGGCCTCAAAGCGCTTGAAATCTCCAGCTGCAAATTCCACAAAAAGGGTGTTTAACATCTGCTCTTCTAAAGGAAAGTTCTACTCTATGCGTTGAATAAACACAGCAGAAAGAAGTTACTGAGACTTCTCCTATCAAACATTATATGAAGAAATCCCGTTTCCAACGAAGGCCTCAAAGAGGTCCAAATATCTGCTTGCAGACTTTACAGACAGAGTGTTTCCAAACTCCTCCATCAAAAGAAAGGTTAAACTCCTTGAGTTGAACACACACATCACAAAGTAGTTTCTGTGAATGATTCTGTCTAGTTTTTATACGAAGATGTTTCCTTTTCTACCTTTGGTCTCAAAGCGATTGAAATCTCCACATGGAAACTCCACAAAAAGAGTGTTTCAAATCTGCTCTTTCTGAAGGAAGGTTCAACTCTGTGAGTTGAATACACACACCACAAATAAGTTACTGAGAATTCTTCTGTGTAACATTATATGAGGAAATCCCGTTTCCAACGAAGGCCTCAAAGAGATCCAAATATCCACTTGCAGACTTTACAAAGACAGTGTCTCCCAACTCCTCCATCAAAAGAAAGGTTATACTCTGTGAATTGAACGCACACATCACAAAGTAGTTTCTGAGAATGATTCTGTCTAGTTTTTATACGAAGATATTTCCTTTTCTACATTTGGCCTAAAAGCGCTTGAAATCTCCACCTGCAAATATCACAAAAAGAGGGTTTCACATCTGCTCTGTCTAAAGGACAGTTCACCTCTGTGAGTTGAATAGAGGCAACACAAAGAACTTACTCAGTATTCTTCTTTCTAGCGTTATATGAAGAAATCCCGTTTCCAACGAAGGCCTCAAAGAGGTCCAAATATCTGCTTGCAGACATTACAGACAGAGTGGTTCCAAACTACTCTATGAAAAGAAAGCTTAAACTCCTTGAGTTGAACGCACACATCACAAAGTAGTTTCTGAGAATGATTCTGTCTTGTTTTTATACGAAGATATTTCCGTTTCTATGATTGGCCTCAAAGCCATTGAAATCTCCACCTGGAAACTGCACAAATAGTGTGTTTCAAATCGGCTCTGTCTAAAGGAAGGTTCAACTCTGTGAGTTGAATACACACACCACAAATAAGTTACTGAGAATTCTTCTGTCGAACATTACATGAAGAAATCCCGTTTCCAACGAAGGCCTCAAAGAGGTCCAAATATCCACTTGTAGACATTACAAACAGAGTGTTTCCAAACTGCTCCATCAAAAGAAAGGTTAAACTCTGTGAGCTGAACACACACATCAAAAAGAAGTTTCTGTGAATGATTCTGTCTAGATTTTATAAGAAGATGTTTCCTTTTCTACCGTAGGCCTCAAAGCGCTTGAAATCTCCAGCTGCAAATTCCACAAAAAGGGTGTTTAACATCTGCTCTTCTAAAGGAAAGTTCAACTCTATGAGTTGAATACACACAGCACAAAGAAGTTACTGAGACTTCTCCTATCAAACATTATATGAAGAAATCCCGTTTCCAACGAAGGCCTCAAAGAGGTCCAAATATCTGCTTGCAGACTTTACAGACAGAGTGTTTCCAAACTGCTCCATCAAAAGAAAGGTTAAACTCCTTGAGTTGAACACACACATCACAAAGTAGTTTCTGTGAATGATTCTGTCTAGTTTTTATACGAAGATGTTTCCTTTTCTACCTTTGGTCTCAAAGCGATTGAAATCTCCACATGGAAACTCCACAAAAAGAGTGTTTCATATCTGCTCTTTCTGAAGGAAGGTTCAACTCTGTGAGTTGAATACACACACCACAAATAAGTTACTGAGAATTCTTCTGTGTAACATTATATGAGGAAATCCCCTTTCCAACGAAGGCCACAAAGAGGTCCAAATATCCACTTGCAGACTTTACAAAGACAGTGTCTCCAAACTCGTCCATCAAAAGAAAGGTTATACTCTGTGAATTGAACGCACACATCACAAAGTAGTTTCTGAGAATGATTCTGTCTAGTTTTTATACGAAGATATTTCCTTTTCTACATTTGGCCTAAAAGTGCTTGAAATCTCCACCTGCAAATATCACAAAAAGAGGGTTTCACATCTGCTCTGTCTAAAGGACAGTTCACCTCTGTGAGTTGAATAGAGGCAACACAAAGAACTTACTCAGTATTCTTCTTTCTAGCGTTCTATGAAGAAATCCCGTTTCCAACGAAGGCCTCAAAGAGGTCCAAATATCTGCTTCCAGAATTTACAGACAGAGTGTTTCCAAACTACTCTATGAAAAGAAAGCTTAAACTCCTTGAGTTGAACGCACACATCACAAAGTAGTTTCTGAGAATGATTCTGTCTTGTTTTTATACAAAGGTATTTCCGTTTCTATGGCTTCAAAGCGATTGAAATCTCCAACTGGAAACTGCACAAATAGGGTGTTTCATATCTGCTCTGTCTAAGGGAAGGTTCAACTCTGTGAGTTGAATACACACACCACAAATAAGTTACTGAGAATTCTTCTGTCGAACATTACATGAAGAAATCCCGTTTCCAACGAAGGCCTCAAAGAGGTCCAAATATCCACTTGCAGACATTACAAACAGAGTGTTTCCAAACTGCTCCATCAAAGAAAGGTTAAACTCTGTGAGCTGAACACACACATCAAAAAGAAGTTTCTGTGAATGATTCTGTCTAGATTTTATAAGAAGATGTTTCCTTTTGTACCGTAGGCCTCAAAGGGCTTGAAATCTCCAGCTGCAAATTCCACAAAAAGGGTGTTTAACATCTGCTCTTCTAAAGGAAAGTTCAACTCTATGAGTTGAATACACACAGCACAAAGAAGTTACTGAGACTTCTCCTATCAAACATTATATGAAGAAATCCCGTTTCCAACGAAGGCCTCAAAGAGGTCCAAATATCTGCTTGCAGACTTTACAGACAGAGTGTTTCCAAACTGCTCCATCAAAAGAAAGGTTAAACTCCTTGAGTTGAACACACACATCACAAAGTAGTTTCTGTGAATGATTCTGTCTAGTTTTTATAAGAAGATGTTTCCTTTTCTACCTTTGGTCTCAAAGCGATTGAAATCTCCACATGGAAACTCCTCAAAAAGAGTGTTTCAAATCTGCTCTTTCTGAAGGAAGGTTCAACTCTGTGAGTTGAATACACACACCACAAATAAGTTACTGAGAATTCTTCTGTGTAACATTATATGAGGAAATCCCGTTTCCATCGAAGGCCTCAAAGAGGTCCAAATATCCACTTGCAGACTTTACAAAGACAGTGTCTCCAAACTCCTCCATCAAAAGAAAGGTTATACTCTGTGAATTGAACGCACACATCACAAAGTAGTTTCTGAGAATGATTCTGTCTAGTTTTTATACGAAGATATTTCCTTTTCTACATTTGGCCTAAAAGCGCTTGAAATCTCCACCTGCAAATATCACAAAAAGAGGGTTTCACATCTGCTCTGTCTAAAGGACAGTTCACCTCTGTGAGTTGAATAGAGGCAACACAAAGAACTTACTCAGTATTCTTCTTTCTACCGTTCTATGAAGAAATCCCGTTTCCAACGAAGGCCTCAAAGAGGTCCAAATATCTGCTTGCAGACTTTACAGACAGAGTGTTTCCAAACTACTCTATGAAAAGAAAGCTTAAACTCCTTGAGTTGAACGCACACATCACAAAGTAGTTTCTGAGAATGATTCTGTCTAGTTTTTATACGAAGATGTTTCCTTTTCTACATTTGGTCTCAAAGCGATTGAAATCTCCAACTGGAAACTGCACAAATAGGGTGTTTCAAATCTGCTCTGTCTAAAGGAAGGTTCAACTTTGTGAGTTGAATACACACACCACAAATAAGTTACTGAGAATTCTTCTGTCGAACATTACTTGAAGAAATCCCGTTTCCAACGAAGGCCTCAAAGAGGTCCAAATATCCACTTGCAGACATTACAAACAGAGTGTTTCCAAACTGCTCCATCAAAAGAAAGGTTAAACTCTGTGAGCTGAACACACACATCAAAAAGAAGTTTCTGTGAATGATTCTGTCTAGATTTTGTAAGAAGATGTTTCCTTTTCTACAGTAGGCCTCAAAGCGCTTGAAATCTCCAGCTGCAAATTCCACAAAAAGGGTGTTTAACATCTGCTCTTCTAAAGGAAAGTTCAACTCTATGCGTTGAATACACACAGGACAAAGAAGTTACTGAGACTTCTCCTATCAAACATTATATGAAGAAATCCCGTTTCCAACGAAGGCCTCAAAGAGGTCCAAATATCTGCTTGCAGACTTTACAGACAGAGTGTTTCCAAACTGCTCCATCAAAAGAAAGGTTAAACTCCTTGAGTTGAACACACACATCACAAAGTAGTTTCTGTGAATGATTCTGTCTACTTTCTATACGAAGATGTTTCCTTTTCCACCTATGGTCTCAAAGCCATTGAAATCTCCACATGGAAACTCCACAAAAAGAGTGTTTCAAATCTGCTCTTTCTGAAGGAAGGTTCAACTCTGTGAGTTGAATACACACACCACAAATAAGTTACTGAGAATTCTTCTGTGTAACATTATATGAGGAAATCCCGTTTCCAACGAAGGCCTCAAAGAGGTCCAAATATCCACTTGCAGACTTTACAAAGACAGTGTCTCCAAACTCCTCCATCAAAAGAAAGGTTATACTCTGTGAATTGAACGCACACATCACAAAGTAGTTTCTGAGAATGATTCTGTCTAGTTTTTATACGAAGATATTTCCTTTTCTACATTAGGCCTAAAAGCCCTTGAAATCTCCACCTGCAAATATCACAAAAAGAGGGTTTCACATCTGCTCTGTCTAAAGGACTGTTCACCTCTGTGAGTTGAATAGAGGCAACACAAAGAACTTACTCAGTATTCGTCTTTCTAGCGTTCTATGAAGAAATCCCGTTTCCAACGAAGACCCCAATGAGGTCCTAATATGTGCTTGCAGACTTTACAGACAGAGTGTTTTCAAACTACTCTATGAAAAGAAAGCTTAAACTCCTTGAGTTGAACGCACACATCACAAAGTAGTTTCTGAGAATGATTCTGTCTAGTTTTTATACGAAGATGTTTCCTTTTCTACATTTGGTCTCAAAGCGATTGAAATCTCCAACTGGAAACTGCACAAATAGGGTGTTTCAAATCTGCTCTGTCTAAAGGAAGGTTCAACTCTGTGAGTTGAATACACACACCACAAATAAGTTACTGAGTATTCTTCTGTCGAACATTACTTGAAGAAATCCCGTTTCCAACGAAGGCCCCAAAGAGGTCCAAATATCCACTTGCAGATATTACAAACAGAGTGTTTCCAAACTGCTCCATCAAAAGAAAGGTTAAACTCGGTGAGCTGAACACACACATCAAAAAGAAGTTTCTGTGAATTATTCTGTCCAGATTTTATAAGAAGATGTTTCCTTTTCTACTGTAGTCCTCAAAGCGCCTGAAATCTCCAACTGCAAATTCCACAAAAAGGGTGTTTAACATCTGCTCTTCTAAAGGAAAGTTCAACTCTATGAGTTGAATACACACAGCACAAAGAAGTTACTGAGACTTCTCCTATCAAACATTATATGAAGAAATCCCGTTTCCAACGAAGGCCTCAAAGAGGTCCAAATATCTGCTTGCAGACTTTACAGACAGAGTGTTTCCAAACTGCTCCATCAAAAGAAAGGTTAAACTCCTTGAGTTGAACACACACATCACAAAGTAGTTTCTGTGAATGATTCTGTCTAGTTTTTATACGAAGATGTTTCCTTTTCTACCTTTGGTCTCAAAGCGATTGAAATCTCCACATGGAAACTCCACAAAAAGAGTGTTTCAAATCTGCTCTTTCTGAAGGAAGGTTCAACTCTGTGAGTTGAATACACACACCACAAATAAGTTACTGAGAATTCTTCTGTGTAACATTATATGAGGAAATCCCGTTTCCAACGAAGGCCTCACAGAGGTCCAAATATCCACTTGCAGACTTTACAAAGACAGTGTCTCCAAACTCCTCCATCAAAAGAAAGGTTATACTCTGTGAATTGAACGCACACATCACAAAGTAGTTTCTGAGAATGATTCTGTCTAGTTTTTATACGAAGATATTTCCTTTTCTACATTTGGCCTAAAAGCGCTTGAAATCTCCACCTGCAAATATCACAAAAAGAGGGTTTCACATCTGCTCTGTCTAAAGGACAGTTCACCTCTGTGAGTTGAATAGAGGCAACACAAAGAACTTACTCAGTATTCTTCTTTCTAGCGTTCTATGAAGAAATCCCGTTTCCAACGAAGGCCTCAAAGAGGTCCAAATATCTGCTTGCAGACTTTACAGACAAAGTGTTTCCAAACTACTCTATGAAAAGAAAGCTTAAACTCCTTGAGTTGAACGCACACATCACAAAGTAGTTTCTGAGAATGATTCTGTCTAGTTTTTATACGAAGATGTTTCCTTTTCTACATTTGGTCTCAAAGCGATTGAAATCTCCAACTGGAAACTGCACAAATAGGGTGTTTCAAATCTGCTCTGTCTAAAGGAAGGTTCAACTCTGTGAGTTGAATACACACACCACAAATAAGTTACTGAGAATTCTTCTGTCGAACATTACAGGAAGAAATCCCGTTTCCAACGAAGGCCTCAAAGAGGTCCAAATATCCACTTGCAGACATTACAAACAGTGTGTTTCCCAACTGCTCCATCAAAAGAAAGGTTAAACTCTGTGAGCTGGACACACAGATCAAAAAGAAGTTTCTGTGAATGATTCTGTCTAGATTTTATAAGAAGATGTTTCCTTTTCTACCGTAGGACTCAAAGCGCTTGAAATCTCCAGCTGCAAATTCCACAAAAAGGGTGTTTAACATCTGCTCTTCTAAAGGAAAGTTCAACTCTATGAGTTGAATACACACAGCACAAAGAAGTTACTGAGACTTCTCCTATCAAACATTATATGAAGAAATCCCGTTTCCAACGAAGGCCTCAAAGAGGTCCAAATATCTGCTTGCAGACTTTACAGACAGAGTTTTTCCAAACTGCTCCATCAAGAGAAAGGTTAAACTCCTTGAGTTGAACACACACATCACAAAGTAGTTTCTGTGAATGATTCTGTCTAGTTTTTATACGAAGATTTTTCCTTTTCTACCTTTGGTCTCAAAGCGATTGAAATCTCCACATGGAAACTCCACAAAAAGAGTGTTTCAAATCTGCTCTTTCTGAAGGAAGGTTCAACTCTGTGAGTTGAATACACACACCACAAATAAGTTACTGAGAATTCTTCCTATCAAACATTATATGAAGAAATCCCGTTTCCAACGATGGCCCCAAAGAGGTCCAAATATCTGCTTGCAGACTTTACAAAGACAGTGTCTCCAAACTCCTCCATCAAAAGAAATATTATACACTGTGAATTGAAAGCACTCATCACAAAGTAGTTTCTGAGAATGATTCTGTCTAGTTTTTATACGAAGATATTTCCTTTTCTACATTTGGCCTAAAAGCGCTTGAAATCTCCACCTGCAAATATCACAAAAAGAGGGTTTCACATCTGCTCTGTCTAAAGGACAGTTCACCTCTGTGAGTTGAATAGAGGCAACACAAAGAACTTACTGAGTATTCTTCTTTATAGCGTTCTATGAAGAAATCCCGTTTCCAACGAAGGCCTCAAAGAGGTCCAAATATCTGCTTGCAGACTTTACAGACAGAGTGTTTCCAAACTACTCTATGAAAAGAAAGCTTAAACTCCTTGAGTTGAACGCACACATCACAAAGTAGTTTCTGAGAATGATTCTGTCTAGTTTTTATACGAAGATGTTTCCTTTTCTACATTTGTCTCAAAGCGATTGAAATCTCCAACTGGAAACTGCACAAATAGGCTGTTTCAAATCTGCTCTGTCTAAAGGAGGGTTCAACTCTGTGAGTTGAATACACACACCACAAGTAAGTTACTGAGAATTCTTCTGTCGAACATTACATGAAGAAATCCCGTTTCCAACGAAGGCCTCAAAGAGATCAAAATATCCACTTGTAGACATTACAAACAGAGTGTTTCCAAACTGCTCCATCAAAAGAAAGGTTAAACTCTGTGAGCTGAACACACACATCAAAAAGAAGTTTCTGTGAATGATTCTGTCTAGATTTCATAAGAAGATGTTTCCTTTTCTACCGTAGGCCTCAAAGCGCTTGAAATCTCCAGCTGCAAATTCCACAAAAAGGGTGTTTAACATCTGCTCTTCTGAAGGAAAGTTCAACTCTATGAGTTGAATACACACAGCACAAAGAAGTTACTGAGACTTCTCCTATCAAACATTATATGAAGAAATCCCGTTTCCAACGAAGGCCTCAAAGAGGTCCAAATATCTGCTTGCACGCTTTACAGACAGAGTGTTTCCAAACTGCTCCATCAAAAGAAAGGTTAAACTTCTTGAGTTGAACACACACATCACAAAGTAGTTTCGGTGAATGATTCTGTCTAGTTGTTATACGAAGATGTTTCCTTTTCTACCTTTGGTCTCAAAGCGATTGAAATCTCCACATGGAAACTCCACAAAAAGAGTGTTTCAAATCTGCTCTTTCTGAAGGAAGGTTCATCTCTGTGAGTTGAATACACACACCACAAATAAGTTACTGAGAATTCTCCTATCAAACATTATATGAAGAAATCCCGTTTCCAACGAAGGCCTCAAAGAGGTCCAAATATCTGCTTGCAGACTTTACAAAGACAGTGTCTCCAAACTCCTCCATCAAAAGAAAGGTTATACTCTGTGAATTGAACGCACACATCACAAAGTAGTTTCTGAGAATGATTCTGTCTAGTTTTTATACGAAGATATTTCGTTTTCTACATTTGGCCTAAAAGCGCTTGAAATCTCCACCTGCAAATATCACAAAAAGAGGGTTTCACATCTGCTCTGTCTAAAGGACAGTTCACCTCTGTGAGTTGTATAGAGGCAACAGAAAGAACTTACTCAGTATTATTCTTTCTAGCGTTCTATGAAGAAATCTCTTTTCCAACGAAGGCCTCAAAGAGGTCCAAATATCTGCTTGCAGACTTTACAGACAGAGTGTTTCCAAACTACTCTATGAAAAGAAAGCTTAAACTCCTTGAGTTGAACGCACAGATCGCAAAGTAGTTTCTGAGAATGATTCTGTCTTGTTTTTATACGAAGATATTTCCGTTTCTATGATTGGCCTCAAAGCGATTGAAATCTCCAACTGGAAGCTGCACAAATAGGGTGTTTCAAATCTGCTCTGTCTAAAGGAAGGTTCAACTCTGTGAGTTGAATACACACACTACAGGTAAGTTACTGAGAATTCTTCTGTCGAACATTACAGGAAGAAATCCCGTTTCCAACGAAGGCCTCAAAGAGGTCCAAATATCCACTTGCAGACATTACAAACAGAGTGTTTCCAAACTGCTCCATCAAAAGAAAGGTTAAACTCTGTGAGCTGAACACACACATCAAAAAGAAGTTTCTGTGAATGATTCTGTCTAGATTTTCTAAGAAGATGTTTCCTTTTCTACCGTAGGCCTCAAAGCGCTTGAAATCTCCAGCTGCAAATTCCACAAAAAGGGTGTTTAACATCTGCACTTCTAAAGGAAAGTTCAACTCTATGAGTTGAATACACACAGCACAAAGAAGTTACTGAGACTTCTCCTATCAAACATTATATGAAGAAATCCCGTTTCCAACGAAGGCCTCAAAGAGGTCCAAATATCTGCTTGCCGACTTTACAGACAGAGTGTTTCCAAACTGCTCTATCAACAGAAAGGTTAACCTCCTTGAGTTGAACACACACATCACAAAGTAGTTTCTGTGAATGATTCTGTCTAGTTTTTATACGAAGATGTTTCCTTTTCTACCTTTGGTCTAAAAGCGATTGAAATCTCCACATGGAAACCCCACAAAAAGAGTGTTTCAAATCTGCTCTTTCTGAAGGAAGGTTCATCTCTGTGAGTTGAATACACACACCACAAATAAGTTACTGAGAATTCTTCTGTGTAACATTATATGAGGAAATCCCATTTCCAACGAAGGCCTCAAAGAGGTCCCAATATCCACATGCAGACTTTACAAAGACAGTGTCTCCAAACTCCTCCATCAAAAGAAAGGTTATACTCTGTGAATTGAACTCACACATCACAAAGTAGTTTCTGAGAAGGATTCTGTCTAGTTTTTATACGAAGATGTTTCCTTTTCTACATTTGGCCTAAAAGTGCTTGAAATCTCCACCTGCAAATATCACAAAAAGAGGGTTTCACATCTGCTCTGTCTAAAGGACAGTTCACCTCTGTGAGTTGAATAGAGGCAACACAAAGAACTTACTCAGTATTCTTCTTTCTAGCGTTCTATGAAGAAATCCCGTTTCCAACGAAGGCCTCAAAGAGGTCCAAATATCTGCTTGCAGACTTTACAGACAGAGTGTTTCCAAACTACTCTATGAAAAGAAAGCTTAAACTCCTTGAGTTGAACGCACACATCACAAAGTAGTTTCTGAGAATGATTCTGTCTAGTTTTTATACGAAGATGTTTCCTTTTCTACATTTGGTCTCAAAGCGATTGAAATCTCCAACTGGAAACTGCACAAATAGGGTGTTTCAAATCTGCTCTGTGTAAAGGAAGGTTCAACTCTGTGAGTTGAATACACACACCACAAATAAGTTACTGAGAATTCTTCTGTCGACCATTACATGAAGAAATCCCGTTTCCAACGAAGGCCTCAAAGAGGTCCAAATATCCACTTGCAGACATTACAAACAGAGTGTTTCCAAACTGCTCCATCAAAAGAAAGGTTAAACTCTGTGAGCTGAACACACACATCAAAAAGAAGTTTCTGTGAATGATTCTGTCTAGATTTTAGAAGAAGATGTTTCCTTTTCTACCGTAGGCCTCAAAGCGCTTGAAATCTCCAGCTGCAAATTCCACAAAAAGGGTGTTTAACATCTGCTCTTCTAAAGGAAAGTTCAACTCCATGAGTTGAATACACACAGCACAAAGAAGTTACTGAGACTTCTCCTATCAATCATTATATGAAGAAATCCCGTTTCCAACGAAGGCCTCAAAGAGGTCCATATATCCACTTGCAGACGTGACAAACAGAGTGTTTCCAAACTGCTCCATCAAAAGAAAGGTTAAACTCTGTGAGTTGAACACACACATCACAAAGTAGTTTCTGTGAATGACTCTGTCTAGTTTTTATACGAAGATGTTTCCTTTTCTACCTTTGGTCTCAAAGCCTTTGAAATGTCCACATGGAAACTCCACAAAAAGAGTGTTTCAAATCTGCTCTTTCTGAAGGAAGGTTCAACTCTGTGAGTTGAATACACACACCACAAATAAGTTACTGAGAATTCTTCTGTGTAACATTATATGAGGAAATCCCGTTTCCAACGAAGGCCTCAAAGAGATCCAAATATCCACTTGCAGACTTTACAAAGACAGTGTCTCCAAACTCCTCCATCAAAAGAAAGGTTATCCTCTGTGAATTGAACGCACACATCACAAAGTAGTTTCTGAGAATGATTCTGTCTAGTTTTTATACGAAGTTATTTCCTTTTCTACATTTGGCCTAAAAGCGCTTGAAATCTCCACCTGCAAATATCACAAAAAGAGGGTTTCACATCTACTCTGTCTAAAGGACAGTTCACCTCTGTGAGTTGAATAGAGGCAACACAAAGAACTTACTCAGTATTCTTCTTTCTAGCGTTCTATGAAGAAATCCCGTTTCCAACGAAGGCCCCAAAGAGGTCCAAATATCTGCTTGCAGACTTTACAGACAGAGTGTTTCCAAACTACTCTATGAAAAGAAAGCTTAAACTCCTTGAGTTGAACGCACACATCACAAAGTAGTTTCTGAGAATGATTCTGTCCAGTTTTTATACGAAGATGTTTCCTTTTCTACATTTGGTCTCAAAGCGATTGAAATCTCCAACTGGAAACTGCACAAATAGGGTGTTTCAAATCTGCTCTGTCTAAAGGAAGGTTCAACTCTGTGAGTTGAATACACACACCACAAATAAGTTACTGAGAATTCTTCTGTCGAACATTACTTGAAGAAATCCCGTTTCCAACGAAGGCCTCAAAGAGGTCCAAATATCCACTTGCAGACATTACAAACAGAGTGTTTCCAAACTGCTCCATCAAAAGAAAGGTTAAACTCTGTGAGCTGAACACACACATCAAAAAGAAGTTTCTGTGAATGATTCTGTCTAGATTTTATAAGAAGATGTTTCCTTTTCTACCGTAGGCCTCAAAGCGCTTGAAATCTCCACCTGCAAATATCACAAAAAGAGGGTTTCACATCTGCTCTGTCTAAAGGACAGTTCACCTCTGTGAGTTGAATAGAGGCAACACAAAGAACTTACTCAGTATTCTTCTTTCTAGCGTTCTATGAAGAAATCCCGTTTCCAACGAAGGCCCCAAAGTGGTCCAAATATCTGCTTGCACACTTTACAGACAGAGTGTTTCCAAACTACTCCATGAAAAGAAAGCTTAAACTCCTTGAGTTGAACGCACACATCACAAAGTAGTTTCTGAGAATGATTCTGTCTAGTTTTTATACGAAGATGTTTCCTTTTCTACCTTTGGTCTCAAAGCGATTGAAATCTCCACATGGAAACTCCACAAAAAGAGTGTTTCAAATCTGCTCTTTCTGAAGGAAGGTTCATCTCTGTGAGTTGAATACACACACCACAAATAAGTTACTGAGAATTCTTCTGTGTAACATTATATGAGGAAATCCCGTTTCCAACGAAGGCCTCAAAGAGATCCAAATATCCACTTGCAGACTTTACAAAGACAGTGTCTCCAAACTCCTCCATCAAAAGAAAGGTTATACTCTGTGAATTGAACGCACACATCACAAAGTAGTTTCTGAGAATGATTCTGTCTAGTTTTTATACGAAGATATTTCCTTTTCTACATTTGGCCTAAAAGCGCTTGAAATCTCCACCTGCAAATATCACAAAAAGAGGGTTTCACATCTGCTCTGTCTAAAGGACAGTTCACCTCTGTGAGTTGAATAGAGGCAACACAAAGAACTTACTCAGTATTCTTCTTTCTGGCGTTCTATGAAGAAATCCCGTTTCCAACGAAGGCCCAAAGAGGTCCAAATATCTGCCTGCAGACTTTACAGACAGAATGTTTCCAAACTACTCTATGAAAAGAAAGCTTAAACTCCTTGAGTTGAACGCACACATCACAAAGTAGTTTCTGAGAATGATTCTGTCTAGTTTTTATACGAAGATGTTTCCTTTTCTACATTTGGTCTCAAAGCGATTGAAATCTCCAACTGGAAACTGCACAAATAGGGTGTTTCAAATCTGCTCTGTCTAAAGGAAGGTTCAACTCTGTGAGTTGAATACACACACCACAAATAAGTTACTGAGAATTCTTCTGTCGAACATTACTTGAAGAAATCCCGTTTCCAACGAAGGCCTCAAAGAGGTCCAAATATCCACTTGCAGACATTACAAACCGAGTGTTTCCAAACTGCTCCATCAACAGAAAGGTGAAACTCTGTGAGCTGAACACACACATCAAAAAGAAGTTTCTGTGAATGATTCTGTCTAGATTTTATAAGAAGATGTTTCCTTTTCTACCGTAGGCCTCAAAGCGCTTGAAATCTCCAGCTGCAAATTCCACAAAAAGGGTGTTTAACATCTGCTCTTCTAAAGGAAAGTTCAACTCTATGAGTTGAATACACACAGCACAAAGAAGTTACTGAGACTTCTCCTATCAAACATTATATGAAGAAATCCCGTTTCCAATGAAGGCCTCAAAGAGGTCCAAATATCTGCTTGCAGACTTCACAGACAGAGTGTTTCCAAACTGCTCCATGAAAGGAAAGGTTAAACTCCTTGAGTTGAACACACACATCACAAAGTAGTTTCTGTGAATGATTCTTTCTAGTTTTTATACAAAGATGTTTCCTTTTCTACCTTTGGTCTCAATGCGATTGAAATCTCCACATGGAAACCCCACAAAAAGTGTGTTTCAAACCTGCTCTTTCTGAAGGAAGGTTCAACTCTGTGAGTTGAATACACACACCACAAATAAGTTACTGAGAATTCTTCTGTGTAACATTATATGAGGAAATCCCGTTTCCAACGAAGGCCTCAAAGAGGTCCAAATAATCCACTTGCAGACTTTACAAAGACAGTGTCTCCAAACTCCTCCATCAAAAGAAAGGTTATACTCTGTGAATTGAACGCACACATCACAAAGTAGTTTCTGAGAATGATTCTGTCTAGTTTTTATACGAAGATATTTCCTTTTCTACATTTGGCCTAAAAGCGCTTGAAATCTCCACCTGCAAATATCACAAAAAGAGGGTTTCACATCTGCTCTGTCTAAAGGACAGTTCACCTCTGTGAGTTGAATAGAGGCAACACAAAGAACTTACTCAGTATTCTTCTTTCTAGCGTTCTATGAAGAAATCCCGTTTCCAACGAAGACCCCAATGAGGTCCAAATATCTGCTTGCAGACTTTACAGACAGAGTGTTTCCAAAGTACTCTATGAAAAGAAAGCTTAAACTCCTTGAGTTGAACGCACACATCACAAAGTAGTTACTGAGAATGATTCTGTCTAGTTTTTATACGAAGATGTTTCCTTTTCTACATTTGGTCTCAAAGCGATTGAAATCTCCAACTGGAAACTGCACAAATAGGGTGTTTCAAATCTGCTCTGTCTAAAGGAAGGTTCAACTCTGTGAGTTGAATACACACACCACAAATAAGTTACTGAGAATTCTTCTGTCGAACATTACTTGAAGAAATCCCGTTTCCAACGAAGGCCTCAAAGAGGTCCAAATATCCACTTGCAGACATTACAAACAGAGTGTTTCCAAACTGCTCCATCAAAAGAAAGGTTAAACTCTGTCAGCTGAACACACACATCGAAAAGAAGTTTCTGTGAATGATTCTGTCTAGATTTTATAAGAAGATGTTTCCTTTTCTACCGTAGGCCTCAAAGCGCTTGAAATCTCCAGCTGCAAATTCCACAAAAAGGGTGTTTAACATCTGCTCTTCTAAAGGAAAGTTCAACTCTATGAGTTGAATACACACAGCACAAAGAAGTTACTGAGACTTCTCCTATCAAACATTATATGAAGAAATCCCGTTTCCAACGAAGGCCTCAAAGAGGTCCAAATATCTGCTTGCAGACTTTAAAGACAGAGTTTTTCCAAACTGCTCCACCAAAAGAAAGGTTAAACTCCTTGAGTTGAACACACACATCACAAAGTAGTTTCTGTGAATGATTCTGTCTAGTTTTTATACGAAGATGTTTCCTTTTCTACCTTTGGTCTCAAAGCGATTGAAATCTCCACTTGGAAACTCCACAAAAAGAGTGTTTCAAATCTGCTCTTTCTGAAGGAAGGTTCAACTCTGTGAGTTGAATACACACACCACAAATAAGTTACTGAGAATTCTTCTGTGTAACATTATATGAGGAAATCCCGTTTCCAACGAAGGCCTCAAAGAGGTCCAAATATCTACTTGCAGACTTTACAAAGACAGTGTCTCCAAACTCCTCCATCAAAAGAAAGGTTATACTCTGTGAATTGAACGCACACATCACAAAGTAGTTTCTGAGAATGATTCTGTCTAGTTTTAATACGAAGATATTTCCTTTTCTACATTTGGCCTAAAAGCGCTTGAAATCTCCACCTGCAAATATCACAAAAAGAGGGTTTCACATCTGCTCTGTCTAAAGGACAGTTCACCTCTGTGAGTTGAATAGAGGCAACACAAAGAACTTACTCAGTATTCTTCTTTCTAGCGTTATATGAAGAAATCCCGTTTCCAAAGAAGGCCTCAAAGAGGTCCAAATATCTCCTTGCAGAATTTACAGACAGAGTGTTTCCAAACTACTCTATGAAAAGAAAGCTTAAACTCCTTGAGTTAAACGCACACATCACAAAGTAGTTTCTGAGAATGATTGTATCTAGTTTTTATACGAAGATGTTTCCTTTTCTACATTTGGTCTCAAAGCGATTGAAATCTCCAAGTGCAAACTGCACAAATAGGTTGTTTCAAATCTGCTCTGTCTAAAGGAAGGTTCAACTCTGTGAGTTGAATACACACACCACAAATAAGTTACTGAGAATTCTTCTGTCGAACATTACATGAAGAAATCCCGTTTCCAACGAAGGCCTCAAAGAGGTCCAAATATCCACTTGCAGACATTACAAACAGAGTGTTTCTAAACTGCTCCATCAAAGGAAAGGTTAAACTCTGTGAGCTGAACACACACATCAAAAAGAAGTTTCTGTGAATGATTCTGTCTAGATTTTATAAGAAGATGTTTCCTTTTCTACCGTAGGCCTCAAAGCGCTTGAAATCTCCAGCTGCAAATTCCACAAAAAGGGTGTTTAACATCTGCTCTTCTAAAGGAATGTTCAACACTATGAGTTGAATACACACAGCACAAAGAAGTTACTGAGACTTCTCCTATCAAACATTATATGAAGAAATCCCGTTTCCAACGAAGGCCTCAAAGAGGTCCAAATATCTGCTTGCAGACTTTACAGTCAGAGTTTTTCCACACTGCTCCATCAAAAGAAAGGTTAAACTCCTTGAGTTGAACACACACATCACAAAGTAGTTTCTGTGAATGATTCTGTCTAGTTTTTATACAAAGATGTTTCCTTTTCTACCTTTGGTCTCAAAGCGATTGAAATCTCCACATGGAAACTCCACAAAAAGAGTGTTTCAAATCTGCTCTTTCTGAAGGAAGTTTCAAATCTGTGAGTTGAATACACACACCACAAATAAGTTACTGAGAATTCTTCTGTGTAACATTATATGAGGAAATCCCGTTTCCAACGAAGGCCTCAAAGAGGTCCAAATATCCACTTGCAGATTTTACAAAGACAGTGTCTCCAAACTCCTCCATCAAAAGAAAGGTTATACTCTGTCAATTGAACGCACACATCACAAAGTAGTTTCTGAGAATGATTCTGTCTAGTTTTTATACGAAGATATTTCCTTTTCTACATTTGGCCTAAAAGCGCTTGAAATCTCCACCTGCAAATATCACAAAAAGAGGGTTTCACATCTGCTCTGTCTAAAGACAGTTCACCTCTGTGAGCTGAACAGATGCAACACAAAGAAGTTACTGAGTATTCTTCTTTCTAGCGTTCTATGAAGAAATCCCGTTTCCAACGAAGGCCCCAAAGAGGTCCAAATATCTGCTTGCAGACTTTACAGACAGAGTGTTTCCAAACTACTCTATGAAAAGAAAGCTTAAACTCCTTGAGTTGAACGCACACATCACAAAGTAGTTTCTGAGAATGATTCTGTCTAGTTTTTATACGAAGATGTTTCCTTTTCTACATTTGGTCTCAAAGCGATTGAAATCTCCAACTGGAAACTGCAGAAATAGGGTGTTTCAAATCTGCTCTGTCTAAAGAAGGTTCAACTCTGTGAGTTGAATACACACACCACAAATAAGTTACTGAGAATTCTTCTGTCGAACATTACTTGAAGAAATCCCGTTTCCAACTAAGGCCTCAAAGACGTCCAAATATCCACTTGCAGACATTACAAACAGAGTGTTTCCAAACTGCTCCATCAAAAGAAAGGTTAAACTCTGTGAGCTGAACACACACATCAAAAAGAAGATTCTGTGAATGATTCTGTCTAGATTTTATAAGAAGATGTTTCCTTTTCTACCGTAGGCCTCAAAGCGCTTGAAATCTCCAGCTGCAAATTCCACAAAAAGGGTGTTTAACATCTGCTCTTCTAAAGGAAAGTTCAACTCTATGAGTTGAATACACACAGCATAAAGAAGTTACTGAGACTTCTCCTATCAAACATTATATGAAGAAATCCCGTTTCCAACGAAGGCCTCAAAGAGGTCCAAATATCTGCTTGCAGACTTTACAGACAGAGTTTTTCCAAACTGCTCCATCAAAAGAAAGGTTAAACTCCTTGAGTTGAACACACACATCACAAAGTAGTTTCTGTGAATGATTCTGTCTAGTTGTTATACGAAGATGTTTCCTTTTCTACCTTTGGTCTCAAAGCGATTGAAATCTCCACATGGAAACTCCACAAAAAGAGTGTTTCAAATCTGCTCTTTCTGAAGGAAGGTTCATCTCTGTGAGTTGAATACACACACCACAAATAAGTTACTGAGAATTCTTCTTTCTAGCATTCTATGAAGAAATCCCGTTTCCAACGAAGGCCCCAAAGAGGTCCAAATATCTGCTTGCAGACTTTACAAAGACAGTGTCTCCAAACTCCTCCATCAAAAGAAAGGTTATACTCTGTGAATTGAACGCACACATCACAAAGTAGTTTCTGAGAATGATTTCTGTCTAGTTTTTATACGAAGATATTTCCTTTTCTACATTTGGCCTAAAAGCGCTTGAAATCTCCACCTGCAAATATCACAAAGGAGGGTTTCACATCTGCTCTGTCTGAAGGACAGTTCACCTCTGTGAGTTGAATAGAGGCAACACAAAGAACTTACTCAGTATTCTTCTTTCTAGCGTTACATGAAGAAATCACGTTTCCAACGAAGGCCTCAAAGAGGTCCAAATATCGGCTTGCAGACTTTACAGACAGAGTGTTTCCAAACTACTCTATGAAAAGAAAGCTTAAACTCCTTGAGTTGAACGCACACATCACAAAGTAGTTTCTGAGAATGATTCTGTCTTGTTTTTATACAAAGATATTTCCGTTTCTATGATTGGCCTCCAAGCGATTGAAATCTCCAACTGGAAACTGCACAAATAGGGTGTTTCAAATCTGCTCTGTCTAAAGGAAGGTTCAACTCTGTGAGTGGAATACACACACCACAAATAACTTACTGAGAATTCTTCTGTCGAACATTACAGGAAGAATTCCCGTTTCCAACGAAGGCCTCAAAGAGGTCCAAATATCCACTTGCGGACATTACAAACAGTGTGTTTCCCAACTGCTCCATCAAAAGAAAGGTTAAACTCTGTGAGCTGAACACACACATCAAAAAGACGTTTCTGTGAATGATTCTGTCTAGATTTTATAAGAAGATGTTTCCTTTTCTACCGTAGGCCTCAAAGCGCTTGAAATCTCCAGCTGCAAATTCCACAAAAAGGGTGTTTAACATCTGCTCTTCTAAAGGAAAGTTCAACTCTATGAGTTGAATACACACAGCACAAAGAAGTTACTGAGACTTCTCCTATCAAACATTATATGAAGAAATCCCGTTTCCAACGAAGGCCTCAAAGAGGTCCAAATATCTGCTTGCAGACTTTACAGACAGAGTGTTTCCAAACTGCTCCATCAAAAGAAAGGTTAAACTCCTTGAGTTGAACACACACATCACAAAGTAGTTTCTGTGAATGATTCTGTCTAGTTTTTATACGAAGATGTTTCCTTTTCTACCTTTGGTCTCAAAGCGATTGAAATCTCCACATGGAAACTCCACAAAAAGAGTGTTTCAAATCTGCTCTTTCTGAAGGAAGGTTCAACTCTTGTGAGTTGAATACACACACCACAAATAAGTTACTGAGAATTCTTCTGTGTAACATTATATGAGGAAATCCCGTTTCCAACGAAGGCCTCAAAGAGGTCCAAATATCCACTTGCAGACTTTACAAAGACAGTGTCTCCAAACTCCTCCATCAAAAGAAAGGTTATACTCTGTGAATTGAACGCACACATCACAAAGTAGTTTCTGAGAATGCTTCTGTCTAGTTTTTATACGAAGATATTTCCTTTTCTACATTTGGCCTAAAAGCGCTTGAAATCTCCACGTGCAAATATCACAAAAAGAGGGTTTCACATCTGCTCTGTCTAAAGGACAGTTCACCTCTGTGAGTTGAATAGAGGCAACACAAAGAACTTACTCAGTATTCTTCTTTCTAGCGTTCTATGAAGAAATCCCGTTTCCAACGAAGGCCTCAAAGAGGTCAAATATCTGCTTGCAGACTTTACAGACAGAGTGTTTCCAAACTACTCTATGAAAAGAAAGCTTAAACTCCTTGAGTTGAACGCACACATCACAAAGTAGTTTCTGAGAATGATTCTGTCTAGTTTTTATACGAAGATGTTTCCTTTTCTACATTTGGTCTCAAAGCGATTGAAATCTCCAACTGGAAACTGCACAAATAGGCTGTTTCAAATCTGCTCTGTCTAAAGGAAGGGTCAGCTCTGTGAGTTGAATACACACACCACAAATAAGTTACTGAGAATTCTTCTGTCGAACATTACTTGAAGAAATCCCGTTTCCAACGAAGGCCTCAAAGAGGTCCAAATATCCACTTGCAGACATTACAAACAGAGTGTTTCCAAACTGCTCCATCAAAAGAAAGGTTAAACTCTGTGAGCTGAACACACACATCAAAAAGAAGTTTCTGTAAATGATCTGTCTAGATTTTATAAGAAGATGTTTCCTTTTCTACCGTAGGCCTCAAAGCGCTTGAAATCTCCAGCTGCAAATTCCTCAAAAAGGGTGTTTAACATCTGCTCTTCTAAAGGAAAGTTCAACTCTATGAGTTGAATACACACAGCACAAAGAAGTTACTGAGACTTCTCCCTATCAAACATTATATGAAGAAATCCCGTTTCCAACGAAGGACTCAAAGAGGTCCAAATATCTGCTTGCAGACCTTACAGACAGAGTGTTTCCAAACTGCTCCATCAAAAGAAAGGTTAAACTCCTTGAGTTGAACACACACATCACAAGGTAGTTTCTGTGAATGATTCTGTCTAGTTTTTATACGAAGATGTTTCCTTTTCTACCTTTGGTCTCAAAGCGATTGAAATCTCCACATGGAAACTCCACAAAAAGAGTGTTTCAAATCTGCTCTTTCTGAAGGAAGGTTCATCTCTGTGAGTTGAATACACACACCACAAATAAGTTACTGAGAATTCTTCTGTGTAACATTATATGAGGAAATCCCGTTTCCAACGAAGGCCTCAAAGAGGTCCAAATATCCACTTGCAGACTTTACAAAGACAGTGTCTCCAAACTCCTCCATCAAAACAAAGGTTATACTCTGTGAATTGAACGCACACATCACAAAGTAGTTTCTGAGAATGATTCTGTCTAGTTTTTATACGAAGATATTTCCTTTTCTACATTTGGCCTAAAAGCGCTTGAAATCTCCACCTGCAAGTATCACAAAAAGAGGGTTTCACATCTGCTCTGTCTAAAGGACAGTTCACCTCTGTGAGTTGAATAGAGGCAACACAAAGAACTTACTCAGTATTCTTCTTTCTAGCGTTCTATGAAGAAATCCCGTTTCCAACGAAGACCCCAAAGAGGTCCAAATATCTGCTTGCAGACTTTACAGACAGAGTGTTTCCAAACTACTCTATGAAAAGAAAGCTTAAACTACCTTGAGTTGAACGCACACATCACAAAGTAGTTTCGGAGAATGATTCTGTCTTGTTTTTATACGAAGATATTTCCGTTTCTATGATTGGCCTCAAAGCGATTGAAATCTCCAACTGGAAACTGCACAAATAGGGTGTTTCACATCTGCTCTGTCTAAAGGAAGGTTCAACTCTGTGAGTTGAATACACACACCACAAATAAGTTACTGAGAATTCTTCTGTCGAACATTACATGAAGAAATCCCGTTTCCAACGAAGGCCTCAAAGACGTCCAAATATCCACTTGCAGACATTACAAACAGAGTGTTTCCAAACTGCTCCATCAAAAGAAAGGTTAAACTCTGTGAGCTGAACACACACATCAAAAAGAAGTTTCTGTGAATGATTCTGTCTAGATTTTATAAGAAGATGTTTCCTTTTCTACCGTAGGCCTCAAAGCGCTTGAAATCTCCAGCTGCAAATTCTACAAAAATGGTGTTTAACATCTGCTCTTCTAAAGGAAAGTTCAACTCTATGCGTTGAATAAACACAGCAGAAAGAAGTTACTGAGACTTCTCCTATCAAACATTATATGAAGAAATCCCGTTTCCAACGAAGGCCTCAAAGAGGTCCAAATATCTGCTTGCAGACTTTACAGACAGAGTGTTTCCAAACTCCTCCATCAAAAGAAAGGTTAAACTCCTTGAGTTGAACACACACATCACAAAGTAGTTTCTGTGAATGATTCTGTCTAGTTTTTATACGAAGATGTTTCCTTTTCTACCTTTGGTCTCAAAGCGATTGAAATCTCCACATGGAAACTCCACAAAAAGAGTGTTTCAAATCTGCTCTTTCTGAAGGAAGGTTCAACTCTGTGAGTTGAATACACACACCACAAATAAGTTACTGAGAATTCTTCTGTGTAACATTATATGAGGAAATCCCGTTTCCAACGAAGGCCTCAAAGAGGTCCAAATATCCACTTGCAGACTTTAAAAAGACAGTGTCTCGAAACTCCTCCATCAAAAGAAAGGTTATACTCTGTGAATTGAACGCACACATCACAAAGTAGTTTCTGAGAATGATTCTGTCTAGTTTTTATACGAAGATATTTCCTTTTCTACATTTGGCCTAAAAGCGCTTGAAATCTCCACCTGCAAATATCACAAAAAGAGGGTTTCACATCTGCTCTGTCTGAAGGACAGTTCACCTCTGTGAGTTGAATAGAGGCAACACAAAGAACTTACTCAGTATTCTTCTTTCTAGCGTTCTATGAAGAAATCCCGTTTCCAACGAAGGCCTCAAAGAGGTCCAAATATCTGCTTGCAGACTTTACAGACAGAGTGTTTCCAAACTACTCTATGAAAAGAAAGCTTAAACTCCTTGAGTTGAACGCACACATCACAAAGTAGTTTCTGAGAATGATTCTGTCTAGTTTTTATACGAAGATGTTTCCTTTTCTACGTTTGGTCTCAAAGCGATTGAAATCTCCAACTGGAAACTGCACAAATAGGCTGTTTCAAATCTGCTCTGTCTAAAGGAAGGTTCAACTCTGTGAGTTGAATACACACACCACAAATAAGTTACTGAGAATTCTTCTGTCGAACATTACATGAAGAAATCCCGTTTCCAACGAACGCCTCAAAGAGGTCCAAATATCCACTTGCAGACACTACAAACAGTGTGTTTCCAAACTGCTCCCTCAAAACAAAGGTTAAACTCTGTGAGCTGAACACACACATCAAAAAGAAGTTTCTGTGAATGATTCTGTCTAGATTTTATAAGAAGATGTTTCCTTTTCTACCGTAGGCCTCAAAGCGCTTGAAATCTCCAGCTGCAAATTCCACAAAAAGGGTGCTTAACATCTGCTCTTCTAAAGGAAAGTTCAACTCTATGAGTTGAATACACACAGCACAAAGACGTTACTGAGACTTCTCCTATCAAACATTATATGAAGAAATCCCGTTTCCAACGAAGGCCTCAAAGAGGTCCAAATATCTGCTTGCAGACTTTACAGACAGAGTGTTTCCAAACTCCTCCACCAAAAGAAAGGTTAAACTCCTTGAGTTGAACACACACATCACAAAGTAGTTTCTGTGAATGATTCTGTCTAGTTGTTATACGAAGATGTTTCCTTTTCTACCTTTGGTCTCAAAGCGATTGAAATCTCCACATGGAAACTCCACAAAAAGAGTGTTTCAAATCTGCTCTTTCTGAAGGAAGCTTCATCTCTGTGAGTTGAATACACACACCACAAATAAGTTACTGAGAATTCTTCTGTGTAACATTATATGAGGAAATCCCGTTTCCAACGAAGGCCTCGAAGAGATCCAAATATCCACTTGCAGACTTTACAAAGACAGTGTCTCCAAACTCCTCCATCAAAAGAAAGGTTATACTCTGTGAATTGAACGCACACATCACAAAGTAGTTTCTGAGAATGATTCTGTCTAGTTTTTATACGAAGATATTTCCTTTTCTACATTTGGCCTAAAAGTGCTTGAAATCTCCACCTGCAAATATCACAAAAAGAGGGTTTCACATCTGCTCTGTCTAAAGGACAGTTCACCTCTGTGAGTTGAATAGAGGCAACACAAAGAACTTACTCAGTATTCTTCTTTCTAGCGTTCTATGAAGAAATCCCGTTTCCAACGAAGGCCTCAAAGAGGTCCAAATATCTGCTTGCAGACTTTACAGACAGAGTGTTTCCAAACTACTCTATGAAAAGAAAGCTTAAACTCCTTGAGTTGAACGCACACATGAAAAAGTAGTTTCTGAGAATGATTCTGTCTAGTTTTTATACGAAGATGTTTCCTTTTCTACATTTGGTCTCAAAGCGATTGAAATCTCCAACTGGAAACTGCACAAATAGGGTGTCTCAAATCTGCTCTGTCTAAAGGAAGGTTCAACTCTGTGAGTTGAATACACACACCACAAATAAGTTACTGAGAATTCTTCTGTCGAACATTACTTGAAGAAATCCCGTTTCCAACGAAGGCCTCAAAGAGGTCCAAACCTCCACTTGCAGACATTACAAACAGTGTGTTTCCAAACTGCTCCATCAAAAGAAAGGTTAAACTCTGTGAGCTGAACACACACATCAAAAAGAAGTTTCTGTGAATGATTCTGTCTAGATTTTATAAGAAGATGTTTCCTTTTCTACCGTAGGCCTCAAAGCGCTTGAAATCTCCAGCTGCAAATTCCACAAAAAGGGTGTTTAACATCTGCTCTTCTAAAGGAAAGTTCAACTCTATGAGTTCAATACACACAGCACAAAGAAGTTACTGAGACTTCTTCTTTCTAGCGTTATATGAAGAAACCCCGTTTCCAACGAAGGCCTCAAAGAGGTCCAAATATCTGTTCGCAGACTTTACAGACAGAGTGTTTCCAAACTGCTCCGTCAAAAGAAAGGTTAACCTCCTTGAGTTGAACACACACATCACAAAGTAGTTTCTGTGAATGATTCTGTCTAGTTTTTATACGAAGATGTTTCCTTTTCTACCTTTGGTCTCAATGCGATTGAAATCTCCACATGGAAACTCCAGAAAAAGAGTGTTTCAAATCTGCTCTTTCTGAAGGAAGGTTCAACTCTGTGAGTTGAATACACACACCACAAATAAGTTACTGAGAATTCTTCTGTGTAACATTATATGAGGAAATCCCGTTTCCAACGAAGGTCTCAAAGAGGTCCAAATATCCACTTGCAGACTTTACAAAGACAGTGTCTCCAAACTCCTCCATCAAAAGAAAGGTTATACTCTGTGAATTGAACGCACACATCACAAAGTAGTTTCTGAGAATGATTCTGTCTAGTTTTTATACGAAGATATTTCCTTTTCTACATTTGGCCTAAAAGCGCTTGAAATCTCCACCTGCAAATATCACAAAAAGAGGGTTTCACATCTGCTCTGTCTAAAGGACAGTTCACCTCTGTGAGTTGAATAGAGGCAACACAAAGAACTTACTCAGTATTCTTCTTTCTAGCATTCTATGAAGAAATCCCGTTTCCAACGAAGGCCTCAAAGAGGTCGAAATATCTGCTTGCAGACTTTACAGACAGAGTGTTTCCAAACTACTCTATGAAAAGAAAGCTTAAACTCCTTGAGTTGAATGCACACATCACAAAGTAGTTTCTGAGAATGATTCTGTCTAGTTTTTATACGAAGATGTTTCCTTTTCTACATTTGGTCTCAAAGCGATTGAAATCTCCAACTGGAAACTGCACAAATAGGGTGTTTCAAATCTGCTCTGTCTAAAGGAAGGTTCAACTCTGTGAGTTGAATACACACACCACAAATAAGTTACTGAGAATTCTTCTGTCGAACATTACATGAAGAAATCCCGTTTCCAACGAAGGCCTCAAAGAGGTCCAAATATCCACTTGCAGACATTACAAACAGAGTGTTTCCAAACTGCTCCATCAAAAGAAAGGTTAAACTCTGTGAGCTGAACATACACATCAAAAAGAAGTTTCTGTGAATGATTCTGTCTAGATTTTATAAGAAGATGTTTCCTTTTCTACCGTAGGCCTCAAAGCGCTTGAAATCTCCAGCTGCAAATTCCACAAAAAGGGTGTTTAACGTCTGCTCTTCTAAAGGAAAGTTCAACTCTATGAGTTGAATACACACAGCACAAAGAAGTTACTGAGACTTCTCCTATCAAACATTACATGAAGAAATCCCGTTTCCAACGAAGGCCTCAAAGAGGTCCAAATATCTGCTTGCAGACTTTACAGACAGAGTGTTTCCAAACTGCTCCATCAAAAGAAAGGTTAAACTCCTTGAGTTGAACACACACATCACAAAGTAGTTTCTGTGAATGATTCTTTCTAGTTTTTATACGAAGATGTTTCCTTTTCTACCTTTGGTCTCAATGCGATTGAAATCTCCACATGGAAACTCCACAAAAAGAGTGTTTCAAATCTTCTCTTTCTGAAGGAAGGTTCAACTCTGTGAGTTGAATACACACACCACAAATAAGTTACTGAGAATTCTTCTGTGTAACATTATATGAGGAAATCCCGTTTCCAACGAAGGCCTCAAAGAGGTCCAAATATCCACTTGCAGACTTTACAAAGACAGTGTCTCCAAACTCCTCCATCAAAAGAAAGGTTATACTCTGTGAATTGAACGCACACATCACAAAGTAGTTTCTGAGAATGATTCTGTCTAGTTTTTATACGAAGATATTTCCTTTTCTACATTTGGCCTAAAAGCGCTTGAAATCTCCACCTGCAAATATCACAAAAAGAGGGTTTCACATCTGCTCTGTCTAAAGGACAGTTCACCTCTGTGAGTTGAATAGAGGCAACACAAAGAACTTACTCAGTATTCTTCTGTCGAACATTACTTGAAGAAATCCCGTTTCCAACGAAGGCCTCAAAGAGGTCAAATATCTGCTTGCAGACTTTACAGACAGAGTGTTTCCAAACTACTCTATGAAAAGAAAGCTTAAACTCCTTGAGTTGAACGCACACATCACAAAGTAGTTTCTGAGAATGATTCTGTCTAGTTTTTATACGAAGATGTTTCCTTTTCTACATTTGGTCTCAAAGCGATTGAAATCTCCAACTGGAAACTGCACAAATAGGGTGTTTCAAATCTGCTCTGTCTAAAGGAAGGTTCAACTCTGTGAGTTGAATACACACACCACAAATAAGTTACTGAGAATTCTTCTGTCGAAAATTACTTGAAGAAATCCCGTTTCCAACTAAGGCCTCAAAGAGGTCCAAATATCCTCTTACAGACATTACAAACAGAGTGTTTCCAAACTGCTCCATCAAAAGAAAGGTTAAACTCTGTGAGCTGAACACACACATCAAAAAGAAGTTTCTGTGAATGATTCTGTCTAGATTTTATTAGAAGATGTTTCCTTTTCTACCGTAGGCCTCAAAGCGCTTGAAATCTCTAGGTGCAAATTCCACAAAAAGGGTGTTTAACATCTGCTCTTCTAAAGGAAAGTTCAACTCTATGAGTTGAATACACACAGCACAAAGAAGTTACTGAGACTTCTCCTATCAAACATTATATGAAGAAATCCCGTTTCCAACGAAGGCCTCAAAGAGGTCCAAATATCTGCTTGCAGACTTTACAGACAGAGTGTTTCCAAACTGCTCCATCAAAAGAAAGGTTAAACTCCTTGAGTTGAACACACACATCACAAAGTAGTTTCTGTGAATGATTCTGTCTAGTTTTTATACGAAGATGTTTCCTTTTCTACCTTTGGTCTCAATGCGATTGAAATCTCCACATGGAAACTCCACAAAAAGAGTGTTTCAAATCTGCTCTTTCTGAAGGAAGGTTCAACTCTGTGAGTTGAATACACACACCACAAATAAGTTACTGAGAATTCTTCTGTGTAACATTATATGAGGAAATCCCGTTTCCAACGAAGGCCTCAAAGAGGTCCAAATATCCACTTGCAGACTTTACAAAGACAGTGTCTCCAAACTCCTCCATCAAAAGAAAGGTTATACTCTGTGAATTGAACGCACACATCACAAAGTAGTTTCTGAGAACGATTCTGTCTAGTTTTTATACGAAGATGTTTCCTTTTCTACATTTGGCCTAAAAGTGCTTGAAATCTCCACCTGCAAATATCACAAAAAGAGGGTTTCACATCTGCTCTGTCTAAAGGACAGTTCACCTCTGTGAGTTGAATAGAGGCAACAAAAAGAACTTACTCAGTATTCTTCTTTCTAGCGTTCTATGAAGAAATCCCGTTTCCAACGAAGGCCCCAAAGAGGTCCAAATATCTGCTTGCAGACTTTACAGACAGAGTGTTTCCAAACTACTCTATGAAAAGAAAGCTTAAACTCCTTGAGTTGAACGCACACATCACAAAGTAGTTTCTGAGAATGATTCTGTCTAGTTTTTATACGAAGATGTTTCCTTTTCTACATTTGGTCTCAAAGCGATTGAAATCTCCAACTGGAAACTGCACAAATAGGGTGTTTCAAATCTGCTCTGTCTAAAGGAAGGTTCAACTCTGTGAGTTGAATACACACACCACAAATAAGTTACTGAGAATTCTTCTGTCGAACATTACAGGAAGAAATCCCGTTTCCAACGAAGGCCTCAAAGAGGTCCAAATATCCACTTGCAGACATTACAAACAGTGTGTTTCCCAACTGCTCCATCAAAAGAAAGGTTAAACTCTGTGAGCTGAACACACACATCAAAAAGAAGTTTCTGTGAATGATTCTGTCTAGATTTTATAAGAAGATGTTTCCTTTTCTACCTTAGCCCTCAAAGCGCTTGAAATCTCCAGCTGGAAATTCCACAAAAAGGGTGTTTAACATCTGCTCTTCTAAAGGAAAGTTCAACTCTATGAGTTGAATACACACAGCACAAAGAAGTTACTGAGACTTCTCCTATCAAACATTATATGAAGAAATCCCGTTTCCAACGAAGGCCTCAAAGAGGTCCAAATATCTGCTTGCAGACTTTACAGACAGAGTGTTTCCAAACTGCTCCATCAAAAGAAAGGTTAAACTCCCTTGAGTTGAACACACACATCACAAAGTAGTTTCTGTGAATGATTCTGTCTAGTTTTTATACGAAGATGTTTCCTTTTCTACCTTTGGTCTCAATGCGATTGAAATCTCCACATGGAAACTCCACAAAAAGAGTGTTTCAAATCTGCTCTTTCTGAAGGAAGGTTCAACTCTGTGAGTTGAATACACACACCACAAATAAGTTACTGAGAATTCTTCTGTGTAACATTATAGGAGGAAATCCCGTTTCCAACGAAGGCCTCAAAGAGGTCCAAATATCCACTTGCAGACTTTACAAAGACAGTGTCTCCAAACTCCTCCATCAAAAGAAAGGTTATCCTCTGTGAATTGAACGCACACATCACAAAGTAGTTTCTGAGAATGATTCTGTCTAGTTTTTATACGAAGATATTTCCTTTTCTACATTTGGCCTAAAAGCGCTTGAAATCTCCACCTGCAAATATCACAAAAAGAGGGTTTCACATCTGCTCTGTCTAAAGGACAGTTCACCTCTGTGAGTTGAATAGAGGCAGCACAAAGAAGTTACTGAGTATTCTTCTTTCTAGCGTTACAAGAAGAAATCCCGTTTCCAACGAAGGCCTCAAAGAGGTCCAAATATCTGCTTGCAGACTTTACAGACAGAGTGTTTCCAAACTACTCTACGAAAAGAAAGCTTAAACTCCTTGAGTTGAACGCACACATCACTAAGTAGTTTCTGAGAATGATTCTGTCTAGTTGTTATACGAAGATGTTTCCTTTTCTACATTTGGTCTCAAAGCGATTGAAATCTCCAACTGGAAACTGCACAAATAGGGTGTTTCAAATCTGCTCTGTCTAAAGGAAGGTTCAACTCTGTGAGTTGAATACACACACCACAAATAAGTTACTGAGAATTCTTCTGTCGAACATTACTTGAAGAAATCCCGTTTCCAACGAAGGCCTCAAAGAGGTCCAAATATCCACTTGCAGACATTACAAACAGAGTGTTTCCAAACTGCTCCATCAAAAGAAAGGTTAAACTGCTGTGAGCTGAACACACACATCAAAAAGAAGTTTCTGTGAATGATTCTGTCTAGATTTTATAAGAAGATGTTTCCTTTTCTACCGTAGGCCTCAAAGCGCTTGAAATCTCCAGCTGCAAATTCCACAAAAAGGGTGTTTAACATCTGCTCTTCTAAAGGAAAGTTCAACTCTATGAGTTGAATACACACAGCATAAAGAAGTTACTGAGACTTCTCCTATCAAACATTATATGAAGAAATCCCGTTTCCAACGAAGGCCTCAAAGAGGTCCAAATATCTGCTTGCAGACTTTACAGACAGAGTGTTTCCAAACTGCTCCATCAAAAGAAAGGTTAAACTCCTTGAGTTGAACACACACATCACAAAGTAGTTTCTGTGAATGATTCTGTCTAGTTTTTATACGAAGATGTTTCCTTTTCTACCTTTGGTCTCAAAGCGATTGAAATCTCCACATGGAAACTCCACAAAAAGAGTGTTTCAAATCTGCTCTTTCTGAAGGAAGGTTCAACTCTGTGAGTTGAATACACACACCACAAATAAGTTACTGAGAATTCTTCTGTGTAACATTATATGAGGAAATCCCGTTTCCAACGAAGGCCTCAAAGAGATCCAAATATCCACTTGCAGACTTTACAAAGACAGTGTCTCCAAACTCCTCCATCAAAAGAAAGGTTATACTCTGTGAATTGAACGCACACATCACAAAGTAGTTTCTGAGAATGATTCTGTCTAGTTTTTATACGAAGATATTTCCTTTTCTACATTTGGCCTAAAAGCGCTTGAAATCTCCACCTGCAAATATCACAAAAAGAGGGTTTCACATCTGCTCTGTCTAAAGGACAGTTCACCTCTGTGAGTTGAATAGAGGCAACACAAAGAACTTACTCAGTATTCTTCTTTCTAGCGTTCTATGAAGAAATCCCGTTTCCAACGAAGGCCCCAAAGAGGTCCAAATATCTGCTTGCAGACTTTACAGACAGAGTGTTTCCAAACTACTCTATGAAAAGAAAGCTTAAACTCCTTGAGTTGAACGCACACATCACAAAGTAGTTTCTGAGAATGATTCTGTCTAGTTTTTATACGAAGATGTTTCCTTTTCTACATTTGGTCTCAAAGCGATTGAAATCTCCAACTGGAAACTGCACAAATAGGGTGTTTCAAATCTGCTCTGTCTAAAGGAAGGTTCAACTCTGTGAGTTGAATACACACACCACAAATAAGTTACTGAGAATTCTTCTGTCGAACATTACTTGAAGAAATCCCGTTTCCAAAGAAGGCCTCAAAGAGGTCCAAATATCCACTTGCAGACATTACAAACAGAGTGTTTCCAAACTGCTCCATCAAAAGAAAGGTTAAACTCTGTGAGCTGAACACACACATCAAAAAGAAGTTTCTGTGAATGATTCTGTCTAGATTTTATAAGAAGATGTTTCCTTTTCTACCGTAGGCCTCAAAGCGCTTGTAATCTCCAGCTGCAAATTCCACAAAAAGGGTGTTTAACATCTGCTCTTCTAAAGGAAAGTTCAACTCTATGAGTTGAATACACACAGCACAAAGAAGTTACTGAGACTTCTCCTATCAAACATTATATGAAGAAATCCCGTTTCCAACGAAGGCCTCAAAGAGGTCCAAATATCTGCTTGCAGACTTTACAGACAGAGTGTTTCCAAACTGCTCCATCAAAAGAAAGGTTAAACTCCTTGAGTTGAACACACACATCACAAAGTAGTTTCTGTGAATGATTCTGTCTAGTTGTTATACGAAGATGTTTCCTTTTCTACCTTTGGTCTCAAAGCGATTGAAATCTCCACATGGAAACTCCACAAAAAGAGTGTTTCAAATCTGCTCTTTCGGAAGGAAGGTTCAACTCTGTGAGTTGAATACACACACCACAAATAAGTTACTGAGAATTCTTCTGTGTAACATTATATGAGGAAATCCCGTTTCCAACGAAGGCCTCAAAGAGGTCCAAATATCCACTTGCAGACTTTACAAAGACAGTGTCTCCAAACTCCTCCATCAAAAGAAAGGTTATACTCTGTGAATTGAACGCACACATCACAAAGTAGTTTCTGAGAATGATTCTGTCTAGTTTTTATACGAAGATATTTCCTTTTCTACATTTGGCCTAAAAGCGCTTGAAATCTCCACCTGCAAATATCACAAAAAGAGGGTTTCACATCTGCTCTGTCTAAAGGACAGTTCACCTCTGTGAGTTGAATAGAGGCAACACAAAGAACTTACTCAGTATTCTTCTTTCTAGCGTTCTATGAAGAAATCCCGTTTCCAACGAAGGCCCCAAAGAGGTCCAAATATCTGCTTGCAGACTTTACAGACAGAGTGTTTCCAAACTACTCTATGAAAAGAAAGCTTAAACTCCTTGAGTTGAACGCACACATCACAAAGTAGTTTCTGAGAATGATTCTGTCTAGTTTTTATACGAAGATGTTTCCTTTTCTACATTTGGTCTCAAAGCGATTGAAATCTCCAACTGGAAACTGCACAAATAGGGTGTTTCAAATCTGCTCTGTCTAAAGGAAGGTTCAACTCTGTGAGTTGAATACACACACCACAAATAAGTTACTGAGAATTCTTCTGTCGAACATTACAGGAAGAAATCCCGTTTCCAACGAAGGCCTCAAAGAGGTCCAAATATCCACTTGCAGACATTACAAACAGTGTGTTTCCCAACTGCTCCATCAAAAGAAAGGTTAAACTCTGTGAGCTGAACACACACATCAAAAAGAAGTTTCTGTGAATGATTCTGTCTAGATTTTATAAGAAGATGTTTCCTTTTCTACCGTAGGCCTCAAAGCGCTTGAAATCTCCAGCTGCAAATTCCACAAAAAGGGTGTTTAACATCTGCTCTTCTAAAGGAAAGTTCAACTCTATGAGTTGAATACACACAGCACAAAGAAGTTACTGAGACTTCTCCTATCAAACATTATATGAAGAAATCCCGTTTCCAACGAAGGCCTCAAAGAGGTCCAAATATCTGCTTGCAGACTTTACAGACAGAGTGTTTCCAAACTGCTCCATCAAAAGAAAGGTTAAACTCCTTGAGTTGAACACACACATCACAAAGTAGTTTCTGTGAATGATTCTGTCTAGTTGTTATACGAAGATGTTTCCTTTTCTACCTTTGGTCTCAAAGCGATTGAAATCTCCACATGGAAACTCCACAAAAAGAGTGTTTCAAATCTGCTCTTTCTGAAGGAAGGTTCATCTCTGTGAGTTGAATACACACACCAAAAATAAGTTACTGAGAATTCTTCTGTCGAACATTACATGAACACATCCCGTTTCCAACGAAGGCCTCAAAGAGGTCCAAATATCCACTTGAAGACTTTACAAAGACAGTGTCTCCAAACTCCTCCATCAAAAGAAAGGTTATACTCTGTGAATTGAACGCACACATCACAAAGTAGTTTCTGAGAATGATTCTGCCTAGTTTTTATACGAAGATATTTCCTTTTCTACATTTGGCCTAAAAGCGCTTGAAATCTCCACCTGCAAATATCACAAAAAGAGGGTTTCACATCTGCTCTGTCTAAAGGACAGTTCACCTGCTGTGAGTTGAATAGAGGCAACACAAGGAACTTACTCAGTATTCTTCTTTCTAGCGTTCTATGAAGAAATCACGTTTCCAACGAAGGCCCCAAAGCAGGTCCAAATATCTGCTTGCAGACTTTACAGACAGAGTGTTTCCAAACTACTCTATGAAAAGAAAGCTTAAACTTCTTGAGTTGAACGCACACATCACAAAGTAGTTTCTGAGAATGATTCTGTCTAGTTTTTATACGAAGATGTTTCCTTTTCTACATTTGGTCTCAAAGCGATTGAAATCTCCAACTGGAAACTGCACAAATAGGCTGTTTCAAATCTGCTCTGTCTAAAGGAAGGTTCAACTCTGTGAGTTGAATACACACACCACAAATAAGTTACTGAGAATTCTTCTGTCGAACATTACATGAAGAAATCCCGTTTCCAACGAAGACCTCAAAGAGGTCCAAATATCCACTTGCAGACATTACAAACAGAGTGTTTCCAAACTGCTCCATCAAAAGAAAGGTTAAACCCTGTGAGCTGAACACACACATCAAAAAGATGTTTCTGTGAATGATTCTGTCAAGATTTTATAAGATGTTTCCATTTCTACCGTAGGACTCAAAGCGCTTGAAATCTCCAGCTGCAAATTCCACAAAAAGGGTGTTTAACATCTGCTCTTCTAAAGGAAAGTTCAACTCTATGAGTTGAATACACACAGCACAAAGAAGTTACTGAGACTTCTCCTATCAAACATTATATGAAGAAATCCCGTTTCCAACGAAGGCCTCAAAGAGGTCCAAATATCTGCTTGCAGACTTTACAGACAGAGTGTTTCCAAACTGCTCCATCAAAAGAAAGGTTAAACTCCTTGAGTTGAACACACACATCACAAAGTAGTTTCTGTGAATGATTCTGTCTAGTTTTTATACGAAGATGTTTCCTTTTCTACCTTTGGTCTCAAAGCGATTGAAATCTCCACATGGAAACTCCACAAAAAGAGTGTTTCAAATCTGCTCTTTCTGAAGGAAGGTTCAACTCTGTGAGTTGAATACACACACCACAAATAAGTTACTGAGAATTCTTCTGTGTAACATTATATGAGTAAATCCCGTTTCCAACGAAGGCCTCAAAGAGGTCCAAATATCCACTTGCAGACTTTACACACACAGTGTCTCCAAACTTCTCCATCAAAAGAAAGGTTATACTCTGTGAATTGAACGCACACATCACAAAGTAGTTTCTGAGAATGATTCTGTCTAGTTTTTATACGAAGATATTTCCTTTTCTACATTTGGCCTAAAAGCGCTTGAAATCTCCACCTGCAAATATCACAAAAAGAGGGTTTCACATCTGCTCTGTCTAAAGGACAGTTCACCTCTGTGAGTTGAATAGAGGCAACACAAAGAACTTACTCAGTATTCTTCTTTCTAGCATTCTATGAAGAAATCCCGTTTCCAACGAAGGCCCCAAAGAGGTCCAAATATCTGCTTGCAGACCTTACAAAGACAGTGTCTCCAAACTCCTCCATCAAAAGAAAGGTTATACTCTGTGAATTGAACGCACACATCACAAAGTAGTTTCTGAGAATGATTCTGTCCAGTTTTTATACGAAGATATTTCCTTTACTACATTTGGCCTAAAAGCGCTTGAAATCTCCACCTGCAAATATCACAAAAAGAGGGTTTCACATCTGCTCTGTCTAAAGGACAGTTCACCTCTGTGAGTTGAATAGAGGCAACACAAAGAACTTACTCAGTATTCTTCTTTCTAGCGATCTATGAAGAAATCCCGTTTCCAACGAAGGCCTCAAAGAGGTCCAAATATCTGCTTGCAGACTTTACAGACAGAGTGTTTCCAAACTACTCTATGAAAAGAAAGCTTAAACTCCTTGAGTTGAACGCACACATCACAAAGTAGTTTCTGAGAATGATTCTGTCTAGTTTTTATACGAAGATGTTTCCTTTTCTACGTTTGGTCTCAAAGCGATTGAAATCTCCAACTGGAAACTGCACAAATAGGCTGTTTCAAATCTGCTCTGTCTAAAGGAAGGTTCAACTCTGTGAGTTGAATACACACACCACAAATAAGTTACTGAGAATTCTTCTGTCGAACATTACAGGAAGAAATCCCGTTTCCAACGAAGGCCTCAAAGAGCTCCAAATATCCACTTGCAGACATTACAAACAGTGTGTTTCCCAACTGCTCCATCAAAAGAAAGGTTAAACTCTGTGAGCTGAACACACACATCAAAAAGAAGTTTCTGTGAATGATTCTGTCTAGATTTTATAAGAAGATGTTTCCTTTTCTACCGTAGGCCTCAAAGCGCTTGAAATCTCCAGCTGCAAATTCCACAAAAAGGGTGTTTAACATCTGCTCTTCTAAAGGAAAGTTCAACTCTACGAGTTGAATACACACAGCACAAAGAAGTTACTGAGACTTCTCCTATCAAACATTATATGAAGAAATCCCGTTTCCAACGAAGGCCTCAAAGAGGTCCAAATATCTGCTTGCAGACTTTACAGACAGAGTGTTTCCAAACTGCTCCATCAAAAGAAAGGTTAAACTCCTTGAGTTGAACACACACATCACAAAGTAGTTTCTGTGAATGATTCTGTCTAGTTTTTATACGAAGATGTTTCCTTTTCTACCTTTGGTCTCAAAGCGATTGAAATCTCCACATGGAAACTCCACAAAAAGAGTGTTTCAAATCTGCTCTTTCTGAAGGAAGGTTCAACTCTGTGAGTTGAATACACACACCACAAATAAGTTACTGAGAATTCTTCTGTGTAATATTATATGAGGAAATCCCGTTTCCAACGAAGGCCTCAAAGAGGTCCAAATATCCACTTGCAGACTTTACAAAGACAGTGTCTCCAAACTCCTCCATCAAAAGAAAGGTTATACTCTGTGAAATGAAGGCACACATCACAAAGTAGTTTCTGAGAATGATTCTGTCTAGTTTTTATACGAAGATATTTCCTTTTCTACATTTGGCCTCAAAGCGCTTGAAATCTCCACCTGCAAATATCACAAAAAGAGGGTTTCACATCTGCTCTGTCTAAAGGACAGTTCACCTCTGTGAGTTGAATAGAGGCAACACAAAGAACTTACTCAGTATTCTTCTTTCTAGCGTTCTATGAAGAAATCCCGTTTCCAACGAAGGCCTCAAAGAGCTCAAATATCTGCTTGCAGACTTTACAGACAGAGTGTTTCCAAACTACTCTATGAAAAGAAAGCTTAAACTCCTTGAGTTGAACGCACACATCACAAAGTAGTTTCTGAGAATGATTCTGTCTTGTTTTTATACGAAGATATTTCCGTTTCTACGATTGGCTTCAAAGCGATTGAAATCTGCAACTGGAAACTGCACAAACAGGGTGTTTCAAATCTGCTCTGTCTAAAGGAAGGTTCAAATCTGTGAGTTGAATACACACACCACAAATAAGTTACTGAGAATTCTTCTGTCGAACATTACTTGAGGAAATCCCGTTTCCAACGAAGGCCTCAAAGGAGGTCCAAATATCCACTTGCAGACATTACAAACAGAGTGTTTCCAAACTGCTCCATCAAAAGAAAGGTTAAACTCTGTGAGCTGAACACACACATCGAAAAGAAGTTTCTGTGAATGATTCTGTCTAGATTTTATAAGAAGATGTTTCCTTTTCTACCGTAGGCCTCAAAGCGCTTGAAATCTCCAGCTGCAAATTCCACAAAAAGGGTGTTTAACATCTGCTCTTCTAAAGGAAAGTTCAACTCTATGAGTTGAATACACACAGCACAAAGAAGTTACTGAGACTTCTCCTATCAAACATTATATGAAGAAATCCCGTTTCCAACGAAGGCCTCAAAGAGGTCCAAATATCTGCTTGCAGACTTTACAGACAGAGTGTTTCCAAACTGCTCCATCAAAAGAAAGGTTAAACTCCTTGAGTTGAACACACACATCACAAAGTAGTTTCTGTGAATGATTCTGTCTAGTTGTTATACGAAGATGTTTCCTTTTCTACCTTTGGTCTCAAAGCGATTGAAATCTCCACATGGAAACTCCACAAAAAGAGTGTTTCAAATCTGCTTTTTCTTAAGGAAGGTTCATCTCTGTGAGTTGAATACACACACCACAAATAAGTTACTGAGAATTCTTCTGTGTAAATTATATGAGGAAATCCCGTTTCCAACGAAGGCCTCAAAGAGGTCCAAATATCCACTTGCAGACTTTACAAAGACAGTGTCTCCAAACTCCTCCATCAAAAGAAAGGTTATACTCTGTGAATTGAACGCACACATCACAAAGTAGTTTCTGAGAATGATTCTGTCTAGTTTTTATACGAAGATATTTCCTTTTCTACATTTGGCCTAAAAGCGCTTGAAATCTCCACCTGCAAATACCACAAAAAGAGGGTTTCACATCTGCTCTGTCTAAAGGACAGTTCACCTCTGTGAGTTGAATAGAGGCAACACAAAGAACTTACTCAGTATTCTTCTTTCTAGCGTTCTATGAAGAAATCCCGTTTCCAACGAAGGCCCCAAAGAGGTCCAAATATCTGCTTGCAGACTTTACAGACAGAGTGTTTCCAAACTACTCTATGAAAAGAAAGCTTAAACTCCTTGAGTTGAACGCACACATCACAAAGTAGTTTCTGAGAATGATTCTGTCTAGTTTTTATACGAAGATGTTTCCTTTTCTACATTTGGTCTCAAAGCGATTGAAATCTCCAACTGGAAACTGCACAAATAGGGTGTTTCAAATCTGCTCTGTCTAAAGGAAGGTTCAACTCTGTGAGTTGAATACACACACCACAAATAAGTTACTGAGAATCTTCTGTCGAACATTACATGAAGAAATCCCGTTTCCAACGAAGGCCTCAAAGAGGTCCAAATATCCACTTGCAGACATTACAAACCGAGTGTTTCCAAACTGCTCCATCAAAAGAAAGGTTAAACTCTGTGAGCTGAACACACACATCAAAAAGAAGTTTCTGTGAATGATTCTGTCTAGATTTTATAAGAAGATGTTTCCTTTTCTACCGTAGGCCTCAAAGCGCTTGAAATCTCCGGCTGCAAATTCCACAAAAAGGGTGTTTAACATCTGCTCTTCTAAAGGAAAGTTCAACTCTATGAGTTGAATACACAGCACAAAGAAGTTACTGAGACTTCTCCTATCAAACATTATATGAAGAAATCCCGTTTCCAACGAAGGCCTCAAAGAGGTCCAAATATCTGCTTGCAGACTTTACAGACAGAGTGTTTCCAAACTGCTCCATCAAAAGAAAGGTTAAACTCCTTGAGTTGAACACACACATCACAAAGTAGTTTCTGTGAATGATTCTGTCTAGTTTTTATACGAAGATGTTTCCTTTTCTACCTTTGGTCTCTAAGCGATTGAAATCTCCACATGGAAACTCCACAAAAAGAGTGTTTCAAATCTGCTCTTTCTGAAGGAAGGTTCAACTCTGTGAGTTGAATACACACACCACAAATAAGTTACTGAGAATTCTTCTGTGTAACATTATGTGAGGAAATCCCGTATCCAACGAAGGCCTCAAAGAGGTCCAAATATCCACTTGCAGACTTTACAAAGACAGTGTCTCCAAACTCCTCCATCAAAAGAAAGGTTATACTCTGTGAATTGAACGCACACATCACAAAGTAGTTTCTGAGAATGATTCTGTCTAGTTTTTATACGAAGATATTTCCTTTTCTACATTTGGCCAAAAAGCGCTTGAAATCTCCACGTGCAAATATCACAAAAAGAGGGTTTCACATCTGCTCTGTCTAAAGGACAGTTCACCTCTGTGAGTTGAATAGAGGCAACACAAAGAACTTACTCAGTATTCTTCTTTCTAGCGTTATATGAAGAAATCCCGTTTCCAACGAAGGTCTCAAAGAGGTCCAAATATCTGCTTGCAGACTTTACAGACAGAGTGTTTCCAAACTACTCTATGAAAAGAAAGCTTAAACTCCTTGAGTTGAACGCACACATCACAAAGTAGTTTCTGAGAATGATTCTGTCTAGTTTTTATACGAAGATGTTTCCTTTTCTACATTTGGTCTCAAAGCGATTGAAATCTCCAACTGGAAACTGCACAAATAGGGTGTTTCAAATCTGCTCTTTCTAAAGGAAGGTTCAACTCTGTGAGTTGAATACACACACCACAAATAAGTTACTGAGAATTCTTCTGTCGAACATTACATGAAGAAATCCCGTTTCCAACGAAGGCCTCAAAAAGGTCCAAATATCCACTTGCAGACATTACAAACAGTGTGTTTCCAAACTGCTCCATCAAAAGAAAGGTTAAACTCTGTGAGCTGAACACACATCAAAAAGAAGTTTCTGTGAATGATTCTGTCTAGATTTTATAAGAAGATGTTTCCTTTTCTACCGTAGGCCACAAAGCGCTTGAAATCTCCAGCTGCAAATTCCACAAAAAGGGTGTTTAACATCTGCTCTTCTAAAGGAAAGTTCAACTCTATGAGTTAAATAAACACAGCAGAAAGAAGTTACTGAGACTTCTCCAATCAAACATTATATGAAGAAATCCCGTTTCCAACGAAGGCCTCAAAGAGGTCCAAATATCTGCTTGCAGACTTTACAGACAGAGTGTTTCCAAACTGCTCCATCAAAAGAAAGGTTAAACTCCTTGAGTTGAACACACACATCACAAAGTAGTTTCTGTGAATGATTCTGTCTAGTTTTTATACGAAGATGTTTCCTTTTCTACCTTTGGTCTCAAAGCGATTGAAATCTCCACATGGAAACTCCACAAAAAGAGTGTTTCAAATCTGCTCTTTCTGAAGGAAGGTTCAACTCTGTGAGTTGAATACACACACCACAAATAAGTTACTGAGAATTCTTCTGTGTAACATTATATGAGGAAATCCCGTTTCCAACGAAGGCCTCAAAGAGGTCCAAATATCCACTTGCAGACTTTACAAAGACAGTGTCTCCAAACTCCTCCATCAAAAGAAAGGTTATACTCTGTGAATTGAACGCACACATCACAAAGTAGTTTCTGGGAATGCCTCTGTCTAGTTTTTATACAAAGATATTTCTTTTTCTACATTTGGCCTAAAAGCGCTTGAAATCTCCACCTGCAAATATCACAAAAAGAGGGTTTCACATCTGCTCTGTCTAAAGGACAGTTCACCTCTGTGAGTTGAATAGAGGCAACACAAAGAACTTACTCAGTATTCTTCTTTCTAGCGTTCTATGAAGAAATCCCGTTTCCAACGAAGGCCTCAAAGAGGTCAAATATCTGCTTGCAGACTTTACAGACAGAGTGTTTCCAAACTACTCTATGAAAAGAAAGCTTAAACTCCTTGAGTTGAACGCACACATCACAAAGTAGTTTCTGAGAATGATTCTGTCTAGTTTTTATACGAAGATGTTTCCTTTTCTACATTTGGTCTCAAAGCGATTGAAATCTCCAACTGGAAACTGCACAAATAGGGTGTTTCAAATCTGCTCTGTCTAAAGGAAGGTTCAACTCTGTGAGTTGAATACACACACCACAAATAAGTTACTGAGAATTACTCTGTCAAACATTACTTGAAGAAATCCCGTTTCCAACGAAGGCCTCAAAGAGGTCCAAATATCCACTTGCAGACATTACAAACCGAGTGTTTCCAAACTGCTCCATCAACAGAAAGGTTAAACTCTGTGAGCTGAACACACACATCAAAAAGAAGTTTCTGTGAATGATTCTGTCTAGATTTTATAAAAAGATGTTTCCTTTTCTACCGTAGGCCTCAAAACGCTGGAAATCTCCAGCTGCAAATTCCACAAAAAGGGTGTTTAACATCTGCTCTTCTAAAGGAAAGTTCAACTCTATGCGTTGAATACACACAGCACAAAGAAGTTACTGAGACTTCTCCTATCAAACATTATATGAAGAAATCCCGTTTCCAACGAAGCCCTCAAAGAGGTCCAAATATCTGCTTGCAGACTTTACAGACAGAGTGTTTCCAAACTGCTCCATCAAAAGAAAGGTTAAACTCCTTGAGTTGAACACACACATCACAAAGTAGTTTCTGTGAATGATTCTGTCTAGTTTTTATACGAAGATGTTTCCTTTTCTACCTTTGGTCTCAAAGCGATTGAAATCTCCACATGGAAACTCCACAAAAAGAGTGTTTCAAATCTGCTCTTTCTGAAGGAAGGTTCAACTCTGTGAGTTGAATACACACACCACAAATAAGTTACTGAGAATTCTTCTGTGTAACATTATATGAGGAAATCCCGTTTCCAACGAAGGCCTCAAAGAGGTCCAAATATCCACTTGCAGACTTTACAAAGACAGTGTCTCCAAACTCCTCCATCAAAAGAAAGGTTATACTCTGTGAATTGAACGCACATATCACAAAGTAGTTTCTGAGAATGATTCTGTCTAGTTTTTATACGAAGATATTTCCTTTTCTACATTTGGCCTAAAAGCGCTTGAAATCTCCACCTGCAAATATCACAAAAAGAGGGTTTCACATCTGCTCTGTCTAAAGGACAGTTCACCTCTGTGAGTTGAATAGAGGCAACACAAAGAACTTACTCAGTATTCTTCTTTCCAGCGTTCTATGAAGAAATCCCGTTTCCAACGAAGGCCTCAAAGAGGTCCAAATATCTGCTTGCAGACTTTACAGACAGAGTGTTTCCAAACTACTCTATGAAAAGAAAGCTTAAACTCCGTGAGTTGAATGCACACATCACAAAGTAGTTTCTGAGAATGATTCTGTCTAGTTTTTATACGAAGATGTTTCCTTTTCTACATTTGGTCTCAAAGCGATTGAAATCTCCAACTGGAAACTGCACAAATAGGGTGTTTCAAATCTGCTCTGTCTAAAGGAAGGTTCAACTCTGTGAGTTGAATACACACACCACAAATAAGTTACTGAGAATTCTTCTGTCGAACATTGCTTGAAGAAATCCCGTTCCCAACGAAGGCCTCAAAGAGGTCCAAATATCCACTTGCAGATATTACAAGCAGAGTGTTTCCAAACTGCTCCATCAAAAGAAAGGTTAAACTCGGTGAGCTGAACACACACATCAAAAAGAAGTTTCTGTGAATGATTCTGTCTAGATTTTATAAGAAGATGTTTCCTTTTCTACTGTAGTCCTCAAAGCGCTTGAAATCTCCAACTGCAAATTCCACAAAAAGGGTGTTTAAGATCTGCTCTTCTAAAGGAAAGTTCAACTCTATGAGTTGAATACACACAGCACAAAGAAGTTACTGAGACTTCTCCTATGAAACATTATATGAAGAAATCCCGTTTCCAACGAAGGCCTCAAAGAGGACCAAATATCTGCTTGCAGACTTTACAGACAGAGTTTTTCCAAACTGCTCCATCAAAAGAAAGGTTAAACTCCTTGAGTTGAACACACACATCACAAAGTAGTTTCTGTGAATGATTCTGTCTAGTTTTTATAAGAAGATGTTTCCTTTTCTACCTTTGGTCTCAAAGCGATTGAAATCTCCACATGGAAACTCCTCAAAAAGAGTGTTTCAAATCTGCTCTTTCTGAAGGAAGGTTCAACTCTGTGAGTTGAATACACACACCACAAATAAGTTACTGAGAATTCTCCTATCAAACATTATATGAAGAAATCCCGTTTCCAACGAAGGCCTCAAAGAGGTCCAAATATCTGCTTGCAGACTTTACAAAGACAGTGTCTCCAAACTCCTCCATCAAAAGAAAGGTTATACTCTGTGAATTGAACGCACACATCACAAAGTAGTTTCTGAGAATGATTCTGTCTAGTTTTTATACGAAGATATTTCCTTTTCTACATTTGGCCTAAAAGCGCTTGAAATCTCCACCTGCAAATATCACAAAAAGAGGGTTTCACATCTGCTCTGTCTAAAGGACAGTTCACCTCTGTGAGTTGAATAGAGGCAACACAAAGAACTTACTCAGTATTCTTCTTTCTAGCGTTCTATGAAGAAATCCCGTTTCCAACGAAGTCCCCAAAGAGGTCCAAATATCTGCTTGCAGACTTTACAGACAGAGTGTTTCCAAACTACTCTATGAAAAGAAAGCTTAAACTCCTTGAGTTGAACGCACACATCACAATGTAGTTTCTGAGAATGATTCTGTCTAGTTTTTATACGAAGATGTTTCCTTTTCTACATTTGGTCTCAAAGCGATTGAAATCTCCAACTGTAAAGTGCACAAATAGGGTGTTTCAAATCTGCTCTGTCTAAAGGAAGGTTCAACTCTGTGAGTTGAATACACACACCACAAATAAGTTACTGAGAATTCTTCTGTCGACCATTACTTGAAGAAATCCCGTTTCCAACGAAGGCCTCAAAGAGGTCCAAATATCCACTTGCAGACATTACAAACAGAGTGTTTCCAAACTGCTCCATCAAAAGAAAGGTTAAACTCTGTGAGCTGAACACACACATCGAAAAGAAGTTTCTGTGAATGATTCTGTCTAGATTTTATAAGAAGATGTTTCCTTTTCTACCGTAGGCCTCAAAGCGCTTGAAATCTCCAGCTGCAAATTCCACAAAAAGGGTGTTTAACATCTGCTCTTCTAAAGGAAAGTTGAACTCTATGAGTTGAATACACACAGCACAAAGAAGTTACTGAGACTTCTCCTATCAAACATTATATGAAGAAATCCCGTTTCCAACGAAGGCCTCAAAGAGGTCCAAATATCTACTTGCAGACTTTACAGACAGAGTGTTTCCAAACTGCTCCATCAAAAGAAAGGTTAAACTCCTTGAGTTGAACACACACATCACAAAGTAGTTTCTGTGAATGATTCTGTCTAGTTTTTATACGAAGATGTTTCCTTTTCTACCTATGGTCTCAAAGCGATTGAAATCTCCACATGGAAACTCCACAAAAAGAGTGTTTCAAATCTGCTCTTTCTGAAGGAAGGTTCAACTCTGTGAGTTGAATACACACACCACAAATAAGTTACTGAGAATTCTTCTGGGTAACATTATATGAGGAAATCCCGTTTCCAACGAAGGCCTCAAAGAGGTCCAAATATCCACTTGCAGACTTTACAAAGACAGTGTCTCCAAACTCCTCCATCAAAAGAAAGGTTATACTCTGTGAATTGAACGCACACATCACAAAGTAGTTTCTGAGAATGATTCTGTCTAGTTTTTATACGAAGATATTTCCTTTTCTACATTTGACCTAAAAGCGCTTGAAATCTCCACCTGCAAATATCCCAAAAAGAGGGTTTCACATCTGCTCTGTCTAAAGGACAGTTCACCTCTGTGAGTTGAATAGAGGCAACACAAAGAACTTACTCAGTATTCTTCTTTCTAGCGTTCTATGAAGAAATCCCGTTTCCAACGAAGGCCCCAAAGAGGTCCAAATATCTGCTTGCAGACTTTACAGACAGTGTTTCCAAACTACTCTATGAAAAGAAAGCTTAAACTCCTTGAGTTGAACGCTCACATCACAAAGTAGTTTCTGAGAATGATTCTGTCTAGTTTTAATACGAAGATGTTTCCTTTTCTACATTTGGTCTCAAAGCGATTGAAATCTCCAACTGGAAACTGCACAAATAGGGTGTTTCAAATCTGCTCTGTCTAAAGGAAGGTTCAACTCTGTGAGTTGAATACACACACCACAAATAAGTTACTGAGAATTCTTCTGTCGAACATTACTTGAAGAAATCCCGTTTCCAACGAAGGCCTCAAAGAGGTCCAAATATCTGTTTGCAGACATTACAGACAGAGTGTTTCCAAACTGCTCCATCAAAAGAAAGGTTAAACTCCTTGAGTTGAACACACACATCACAAAGTAGTTTCTGTGAATGATTCTGTCAAGATTTTATAAGATGTTTCCATTTCTACCGTAGGACTCAAAGCGCTTGAAACCTCCAGCTGCAAATTCCACAAAAAGGGTGTTTAACATCTGCTCTTCTAAAGGAAAGTTCAACTCTATGAGTTGAATACACACAGCACAAAGAAGTTACTGAGACTTCTCCTATCAAACATTATATGAAGAAATCCCGTTTCCAACGAAGGCCTCAAAGAGGTCCAAATATCTGCTTGCAGACTTTACAGACAGAGTGTTTCCAAACTGCTCCATCAAAAGAAAGGTTAAACTCCTTGAGTTGAACACACACATCACAAAGTAGTTTCTGTGAATGATTCTGTCTAGTTTTTATACGAAGATGTTTCCTTTTCTACCTTTGGTCTCAATGCGATTGAAATCTCCACATGGAAACTCCACAAAAAGAGTGTTTCAAATCTGCTCTTTCAGAAGGAAGGTTCAACTCTGTGAGTTGAATACACACACCACAAATAAGTTACTGAGAATTCTTCTGTGTAACATTATATGAGGAAATCCCGTTTCCAACGAAGGCCTCAAAGAGGTCCAAATATCCACTTGCAGACTTTACAAAGACAGTGTCTCCAAACTCCTCCATCAAAAGAAAGGTTATACTCTGTGAATTGAACGCACACATCACAAAGTAGTTTCTGAGAATGATTCTGTCTAGTTTTTATACGAAGATATTTCCTTTTCTACATTTGGCCTAAAAGCGCTTGAAATCTCCACGTGCAAATATCACAAAAAGAGGGTTTCACATCTGCTCTGTCTAAAGGACAGTTCACCTCTGTGAGTTGAATAGAGGCAACACAAAGAACTTACTCAGTATTCTTCTTTCTAGCGTTCTATGAAGAAATCCCGTTTCCAACGAAGGCCCCAAAGAGGTCCAAATATCTGCTTGCAGACTTTACAGACAGAGTGTTTCCAAACTACTCTATGAAAAGAAAGCTTAAACTCCTTGAGTTGAACGCACACATCACAAAGTAGTTTCGGAGAATGATTCTGTCTTGTTTTTATACGAAGATATTTCCGTTTCTATGATTGGCCTCAAAGCGATTGAAATCTCCAACTGGAAACTGCACAAATAGGGTGTTTCAAATCTGCTCTGTCTAAAGGAAGGTTCAACTCTGTGAGTTGAATACACACACAACAAATAAGTTACTGAGAATTCTTGTGTCGAACATTACTTGAAGAAATCCCGTTTCCAACGAAGGCCTCAAAGAGGTCCAAATATTCACTTGCAGATATTACAAACAGAGTTTTTCCAAACTGCTCCATCAAAAGAAAGGTTAAACTCTGTGAGCTGAACACACACATCAAAAAGAAGTTTCTGTGAATGATTCTGTCTAGATTTTATAAGAAGATGTTTCCTTTTCTACCGTAGGCCTCAAAGCGCTTGAAATCTCCAACTGCAAATTCCGCAAAAAGGGTGTTTAACATCTGCTCTTCTAAAGGAAAGTTCAACTCTATGAGTTGAATACACACAGCACAAAGAAGTTACTGAGACTTCTCCTATCAAACATTATATGAAGAAATCCCGTTTCCAACGAAGGCCTCAAAGAGGTCCAAATATCTGCTTGCAGACTTTACAGACAGAGTGTTTCCAAACTGCTCCATCAAAAGAAAGGTTAAACTCCTTGAGTTGAACACACACATCACAAAGTAGTTTCTGTGAATGATTCTGTCTAGTTTTTATACGAAGATGTTTCCTTTTCTACCTTTGGTCTCAAAGCGATTGAAATCTCCACATGGAAACTCCACAAAAAAGAGTGTTTCAAATCTGCTCTTTCTGAAGGAAGGTTGAACTCTGTGAGTTGAATACACACACCACAAATAAGTTACTGAGAATTCTTCTGTGTAACATTATATGAGGAAATCCCGTTTCCAACGAAGGCCTCAAAGAGGTCCAAATATCCACTTGCAGACATTACAAAGACAGTGTCTCCAAACTCCTCCATCAAAAGAAAGGTTCTACTCTGTGAATTGAACGCACACATCACAAAGTAGTTTCTGAGAATGATTCTGTCTAGTTTTTATACGAAGATATTTCCTTTTCTACATTTGGCCTAAAAGCGCTTGAAATCTCCACCTGCAAATATCACAAAAAGAGGGTTTCACATCTGCTCTATGTAAAGGAGAGTTCACCTCTGTGAGTTGAATAGAGGCAACACAAAGAACTTACTCAGTATTCTTCTTTCTAGCGTTCTATGAAGAAACCCCGTTTCCAACGAAGGCCCCAAAGAGGTCCAAATATCTGCTTGCAGACTTTACAGACAGAGTGTTTCCAAACTACTCTATGAAAAGAAAGCTTAAACTCCTTGAGTTGAACGCACACATCACAAAGTAGTTTCTGAGAATGATTCTGTCTAGTTTTTATACGAAGATGTTTCCTTTTCTACATTTGGTCTCAAAGCGATTGAAATCTCCAACTGGAAACTGCACAAATAGGGTGTTTCAAATCTGCTCTGTCTAAAGGAAGGTTCAACTCTGTGAGTTGAATACACACACCACAAATAAGTTACTGAGAATTCTTCTGTCGACCATTACTTGATGAAATCCCGTTTCCAACGAAGGCCTCAAAGAGGTCCAAATATCCACTTGCAGACATTACAAACAGAGTGTTTCCAAACTGCTCCATCAAAAGAAAGGTTAAACTCTGTGAGCTGAACACACACATCGAAAAGAAGTTTCTGTGAATGATTCTGTCTAGATTTTATAAGAAGATGTTTCCTTTTCTACCGTAGGCCTCAAAGCGCTTGAAATCTCCAGCTGCAAATTCCACAAAAAGGGTGTTTAACATCTGCTCTTCTAAAGGAAAGTTCAACTCTATGAGTTGAATACACACAGCACAAAGAAGTTACTGAGACTTCTCCTATCAAACATTATATGAAGAAATCCCGTTTCCAACGAAGGCCTCAAAGAGGTCCAAATATCTGCTTGCAGACTTTACAGACAGAGTGTTTCCAAACTGCTCCATCAAAAGAAAGGTTAAACTCCTTGAGTTGAACACACACATCACAAAGTAGTTTCTGTGAATGATTCTGTCTAGTTGTTATACGAAGATGTTTCCTTTTCTACCTTTGGTCTCAAAGCGATTGAAATCTCCACATGGAAACTCCACAAAAAGAGTGTTTCAAATCTGCTCTTTCTGAAGGAAGGTTCATCTCTGTGAGTTGAATACACACACCACAAATAAGTTAGTGAGAATTCTTCTGTGTAACATTATATGAGGAAATCCCGTTTCCAACGAAGGCCTCAAAGAGGTCCAAATATCCACTTGCAGACTTTACAAAGACAGTGTCTCCAAACTCCTCCATCAAAAGAAAGGTTATACTCTGTGAATTGAACGCACACATCACAAAGTAGTTTCTGAGAATGATTCTGTCTAGTTTTTATACGAAGATATTTCCTTTTCTACGTTTGGCCTAATAGCGCTTGAAATCTACACCTGCAAATATCACAAAAAGAGGGTTTCACATCTGCTCTGCCTAAAGGACAGTTCACCTCTGTGAGTTGAATAGAGGCAACACAAAGAACTTACTCAGTATTCTTCTTTCTAGCGTTACATGAAGAAATCCCATTTCCAACGAAGGCCTCAAAGAGGTCCAAATATCTGCTTGCAGACTTTACAGACAGAGTGTTTCCAAACTACTCTATGAAAAGAAAGCTTAAACTCCTTGAGTCGAACGCACACATCACAAAGTAGTTTCTGAGAATGATTCTGTCTAGTTTTTATACGAAGATGTTTCCTTTTCTACATTTGGTCTCAAAGCGATTGAAATCTCCAACTGCAAACTGCACAAATAGGGTGTTTCAAATCTGCTCTGTCTAAAGGAAGGTTCAACTCTGTGAGTTGAATACACACACCACAAATAAGTTACTGAGAATTCTTCTGTCAAACATTACAGGAAGAAATCCCGTTTCCAACGAAGGCCTCAAAGAGGTCCAAATATCCACATGCAGACATTACAAACAGAGTGTTTGCAAACTGCTCCATCAAAAGAAAGGTTAAACTCTGTGAGCTGAACAGACACATCAAAAAGAAGTTTCTGTGAATGATTCTGTCTAGATTTTATAAGAAGATGTTTCCTTTTCTACCGTAGGCCTCAAAGCGCTTGAAATCTCCAGCTGCAAATTCCACAAAAAGGGTGTTTAACATCTGCTCTTCTAAAGGAAAGTTCAACTCTATGAGTTGAATACACACAGCACAAAGAAGTTACTGAGACTTCTCCTATCAAACATTATATGAAGAAATCCCGTTTCCAACGAAGGCCTCAAAGAGGTCCAAATGTCTGCTTGCAGACTTTACAGACAGAGTGTTTCCAAACTGCTCCATCAAAAGCAAAGGTTAAACTCCTTGAGTTGAACACACACATCACAAAGTAGTTTCTGTGAATGATTCTGTCTAGTTTTTATACGAAGATGTTTCCTTTTCTACCTTTGGTCTCAAAGCGATTGAAATCTCCACATGGAAACTCCACAAAAAGAGTGTTTCAAATCTGCTCTTTCTGAAGGAAGGTTCATCTCTGTGAGTTGAATACACACACCACAAATAAGTTACTGAGAATTCTTCTGGGTAACATTATATGAGGAAATCCCGTTTCCAACGAAGGCCTCAAAGAGGTCCAAATATCCACTTGCAGACTTTACAAAGACAGTGTCTCCAAACTCCTCCATCAAAAGAAAGGTTATACTCTGTGAATTGAACGCACACATCACAAAGTAGTTTCTGAGAATGATTCTGTCTAGTTTTTATACAGAAGATATTTCCTTTTCTACATTTGGCCTAAAAGCGCTTGAAATCTCCACCTGCAAATATCACAAAAAGAGGGTTTCACATCTGCTCTGTCTAAAGGACAGTTCACCTCTGTGAGTTGAATAGAGGCAACACAAAGAACTTACTCAGTATTCTTCTTTCTAGCGTTCTATGAAGAAATCCCGTTTCCAACGAAGGCCTCAAAGAGGTCCAAATATCTGCTTGCACACTTTACAGACAGAGTGTTTCCAAACTACTCTATGAAAAGAAAGCTTAAACTCCTTGAGTTGAACGCACACATCACAAAGTAGTTTCTGAGAATGATTCTGTCTAGTTTTTATACGAAGATGTTTCCTTTTCTACATTTGGTCTCAAAGCGATTGAAATCTCCAACTGGAAACTGCACAAATAGGGTGTTTCAAATCTGCTCTGTCTAAAGGAAGGTTCAACTCTGTGAGTTGAATACACACACCACAAATAAGTTATTGAGAATTCTTCTGTCGAACATTACTTGAAGAAATCCCGTTTCCAACGAAGGCCTCAAAGAGGTCCAAATATCCACTTGCAGATATTACAAACAGAGTGTTTCCAAACGGCTCCATCAAAAGAAAGGTTAAACTCTGTGAGCTGAACACACACATCAAAAAGAAGTTTCTGTGAATGATTCTGTCTAGATTTTATAAGAAGATGTTTCCTTTTCTACCGTAGGACTCAAAGCGCTTGAAATCTCCAGCTGCAAATTCCACAAAAAGGGTGTTTAACATCTGCTCTTCTAAAGGAAAGTTCAACTCAATGAGTTGAATACACACAGCACAAAGAAGTTACTGAGACTTCTCCTATCAAACATTATATGAAGAAATCCCGTTTCCAACGAAGGCCTCAAAGAGGTCCAAATATGTGCTTGCAGACTTTAAAGACAGAGTTTTTCCAAACTGCTCCATCAAAAGAAAGGTTAAACTCCTTGAGTTGAACACACACATCACAAAGTAGTTTCTGTGAATGATTCTGTCTAGTTTTTATACGAAGATGTTTCCTTTTCTACCTTTGGTCCCAAAGCGATTGAAATCTCCACATGGAAACTCCACATAAAGAGTGTTTCAAATCTGCTCTTTCTGAAGGAAGGTTCAAATCTGTGAGTTGAATACACACACCACAAATAAGTTACTGAGAATTCTTCTGTGTAACATTATATGAGGAAATCCCGTTTCCAACGAAGGTCTCAAAGAGGTCCAAATATCCACTTGCAGACTTTACAAAGACAGTGTCTCCAAACTCCTCCATCAAAAGAAAGGTTATACTCTGTGAATTGAATGCACACATCACAAAGTAGTTTCTGAGAATGATTCTGTCTAGTTTTTATACGAAGATATTTCGTTTTCTACATTTGGCCTAAAAGCGCTTGAAATCTCCACGTGCAAATATCACAAAAAGAGGGTTTCACATCTGCTCTGTCTAAAGGACAGTTCACGTCTGTGAGTTGAATAGAGGCAACACAAAGAACTTACTCAGTATTCT